>NC_000002.12:19933997-20085512 GCF_000001405.40 Homo sapiens
CTTGGAAAGTGGTGGCAGCGAGGAAGAACCACCACCACCACCACCACCACCACCACCACCACCACCACCACCACCACAAAAAAAAATCCTACTTGTTCAGCTGCACTGGCCATTTTCAGAACATCATTTTTTTTCTTTCAGAATATCTAATTAGCCAGAGGTTTTCCCTCCCCAACCCTTCTACAATATGTTTGGAAGTATGAAAGTATATTTTATATCCAACTTTTAAAACAATGCTTATATTTTTCTGATTATAAGGGAATACATTCTATCTGTAAAAAAAATTACAAAACATGAAAAAGTGAAATTACTCATAATCTTATCATTCATAAGAAACCTCTCTCAATACTCTGGTGCAATTTCTTAACATCTTTGTCCTTTGAATATATATGTATATGTTTGTGTTGTACACAATCACACAATACACAATTTTGTATCCTGTATTTCCTACTTAAATATTATGTACACCTTCCCATATTATTAAAAATTCTTCTATAACTCTATTTAAAATTTATAATACTAAAATTTTTACTATTTTAGTTATTTAATTATCATTATAGTTATAATTACTTAGCATTTACTCAGGAATATTACTATTCTGGATACCCTACAGCAAAATGTTTATCGGCATCATCAGACACATCTAACAGACAACACTAACGGAGTATACACTCTTCCCTATACCCAGGGTTCTAAGTAATTTCAGTTTCTTTCCTACTCAAGAAAACCCATAGGATTGAAAATAAGGGTGAGTGAAAATACCATTATTACAGAGATAGCCGCTCAAATTCACAATAGGGAAAACTGAATTACCGTAATTCTATACTTATCTATTAACTAATAGGCAAAATTTTTGAAGCAGAACTCACAACTGATATACATCCAGACTCTGCAGTTGAGAGCTGCTAGCTCTACAAGTATTGTACGGCTCAGTGATTCACATATTAAACACATAAAATACAAACTTATTTACAGTATTCAACAATTAATTAAGAGGCTCTAAAAGAACATTTGAAAGCAAGAGAACTCTTTCCATTTCTCTTTTAACTTGAAATACTTTATTGTTAATATAACATAATAAAAGTTGAGCTATCTTTTTAAACTTAAGTTATAGCAAATTTCAAACAATTTCAGATTATTTTGAAGCAAATCCCTAGCAACATATCATTTCATCTGTAAATATTTCATGTATTCAGCTAACATTTAAAAAGTAACTTTATAAATCTTAACAGACTACACAAGACTGTGATCATATTAAAGTAGTAAGAATGTGACTGACTTTTCCTCCTCCATTTTCAAGCATTCTATATTATTTATATATTACTTTATAATTAAAAGCATCATTCCATGTCTAAGAAACTGTAACATTATAGATTTTTAATTTTCTTTATTGTGGGAGATATTTCCTGACTATAACATAAAATTTTATAAAGTAACCTAACAATTCCAAAAACTAAAATTTGCAATACCTACTGGAAGTAACTTGTGGTTTTCTGGAAGTGAAATGGCAAGGTTCTCTAACCCTTCATAATCCTCTAACATATAGTAACATTCAGCTAAGCGTTCCTGGTTCCGTCCTTGTACATAATATTGTACAGCATTCAACCTACAGAAAGAAAAAAGGAAAAACTTTTAAAACTAATGTGAATCTCCTGATAAATAAGCACTTTCAACCAAAATGTTCCTTCATCATAATTCCCAGTACTAGTATTACTGTTCATTATCTTCAGCTTCAGAATAACTTTCAAACATATAAATGGGGAAAAAAATCTAAAGCATATTCTAGTTGTAACATTCCTTGACTATTCTTAAGAAATACCACCGCTTTACTCCCAAACACTGACATAAATAAGCATACTAATCAAAATGAAAAGAAAAGCCAATGATTTCTGAAAATAATATATAATAAAGCAAATAAAAACACTTATTAAACTTTGTTCAAAAATAAAACATAAAACACCTTAGAATTATATACTGTAGGCTCAAACAGAAAGCTGCATGGAGCTAAGTACAAGTTTTGTGTTTATACACTACAAATTTTTATAGTGCTCATCTCACAACTTCACAGGATCTCCGGCTTTCCAAGATGAATCTAGAGCTATCTGAATTTTAGAATTCAAGAAAATGATCTTCATTTCCCCAGGATTACTTCCTAGAGAAGTACTCAGGCAGCTACTAAGTGTTGCATGAATGCTTGAGGAGCTCCAGGTAAGTTACATACCACTTTTGTCGATCAGCAAAGTAGTCTCCAATGGCATTGTTGGCTTGTTCCAGGAGACTGTCATCTGCATCACCAGATCCAGTTTTCAGGAGCTGGAGTACTCTAAACCAATCCCCCAATTTCAGCCGGAGGCCAATAGCAAGATCCCTACAAACAAAGGCATTCATTCATTCATTCATCTATTTGACAAATATTTACCAAGAGCCTGCTGTGTGTTAGGTACAGTTCTAGGTGCTGAGGCTACACAGCAGTGGACAATGTGACTCTCCAAACACTTTAGGAACTTAGCCTGACTAGCTAAGAGGAAATGAGGAGCACCTGGAGGTTATGGTTTGAATGTGTGTCCCCTCCAAAATTCATGTTAAAACTTAATCTCCATTGTGGTAGTATTAAGAGGTGGGGTTTCTGGGAAGTCATTATGTCTGCCCTTATGAATTGATTAATGCCCTCATAAAAGACTCCTCAGAGAATTTGCCCCTTTTGCCCTTTTCACTTTCCACCATGTAAAGGCATAACATTCAAAGCACCATCTTGAAAGTGAGACAGGGCCCTCAACAGACACCAAACTTGTTGACGCCTTGATCTTAGACTTCCTAGTCTCCAGAACTGTGAGAAAAATATTTCTGTTCTTTATAAATTATCCAGTCTCAGGTATCTTGTTATAGCACCCCAAATGGTCTAAGATACCAGAACAGGGAAAAGAATGTTGTGCCTTTACTTTCCTGGACTTTCAATTTATTTAGCAAAATAATGATTTAAATAACAATCATTTCTTTTCAGCAATTTCTTAGATGTGATCAGGTTTATTTCAAAACAAAACACAGTGTTAACACATGTGGTTTTATATGACTTTTCAGAGCCTAAGTCATATTAGAGATCTCCTGGGAGTATAAATAACATTAATGAAGATGAGATACAATCTTAACAGCTGAAATGAAGTTCAGACAGACTCTCCGCCTTGTGGTTCAGTGGCTAAGATTATCTGCTTTCATAGCAGCTGCCTGGGTTTGATTCCTGGCCAGGGAGACAGGCCTTACAGTTCTTTAATTCAAAAGAAGAAATATTTATGAAGTTCATACATTATTTTATATAAATCAAAAACGAAATATAAAGAACTAATCTCGATCCCTAACGACTTCTGATTTTTATTTTATGCCTCTTGACAACATAAAATTAAATAATGGCCTAAACAAACAAAGAAAGAAAGAACTGGAATAATGAGCTATGTCTTAAATATAAAAGATCCCAGTCTCTGTTGTTCTATCATTTTTTCCCATCAAATGAAAAAAAAACCTCCCAGAGTCAGCCATTATTAGATGTAAAAACAGAGAAGAAAACTGCCTCCAGACTATGAAACACAAATGAATGAGAGGCATGTAGAATATCTAGGTTGTAATCCAAACTTAAAATTAATTTCTAAAAGGAACCATATGATACACCTAACGTATTTATAGTTTCCATTTGTAAAAAATACAATGATGAACTGATAGAGTACTCAGGGATGCCTGCGCCTTCATAACTTACCTTCTGTCCATCTCGAGATACGTTCTTTCAGCCTCTTCAAACCTGCCGAAGTAGCCAACAACTTCAGCCTGTTTCATTGACTCACTCAGTAGTTTGCCCAAGCGCTTCACAAACTTAATGCCTTGGTAATCTTTGCAGCGCACAAATGCTTGCTCTGCAGTGTATAGATCCAGTTTCTGAAGAGCTGCTTCAGCCAGTAGGCGCCTTTATTTTAAAAGAAACAAAAACATAAGTGCATATTGCAAATTACTGACAAACTAGTCTTGAATCACAATTCAATTATCATTTATGTCTATTATTTCTAGAGAAACATGGTGGAAAGTAACATATGCAAACATTTTTCAAATAATTTTCTGCTTATTTTGAGGACTTCCAAATCTAAATGAATTTCTACATCTTAAAAAGAAGAGCAAGAATGGAAGTCTGCTCCCATCAGGAGGATAGTAGGGGAGCAGAGGGACAAAACTGAGACTTTAAAAACCTACACCTGACATCCTGGGAGAGTTTGCTTTTTTTAAATACCAAAGTCGGGGGTGTGGATTGTCCTCTATGAACTGAGATGCATCTTTAATTCCAACCTTCTCAATCAGTGCTCGGCTATCTCGCAGAGACCGAATCTCAAAGTTAATTAGGTAATCCTTGTTTGGATGTTCTGGATCCTAAAAGTAAAGATGAAAACAAAAAAATTCAAATATTTGCCGTTAGAGTATGTGTTTCTTTTTTATATTAAAAACCAGAACAAAACAAAACAAGAAAAAAAACGGCATCATATTGTGAGCAAAATAAGGAAGAGAAATCTTCACGTTTGGGTCTTTTGAGTTATCTGGAAAACACCAAAACCCACAAGTAAGTACCTCTGAGGCAATCAGGCGGCCTATGAGGAAAAGGGGACAGAGGAAAATGGCAGAAGGGGTCCCTCACAGTTATGCATCCCTGTTTCCCTCTGCTCAGATTGGTTTTTCACCTTAAATGAGATAACATGTCTCAAAGATTCAGCACAATGCCTAGCTGTACTATTTACGGTATTCAATATTCATCATCTCAGAACTGACCTAATGCTCTCCTGCTTCAGAATTTTGAACAGGTGTACCATCCTGACTGAATCACAGCACCCCTAACTCTTTTCTGGCAACTGAATTACTTATCCATCTCCTCAACTCCTCTACCTGAGGCCAAGAACTGTGTCTTATTGGCTGTTAATTAATAGTTGCTGAATTAATGAATAGATGAACTTTAGGTAAATCATTTTACCACTGAGAGCCTTCTTTATCTAAAAAACTTCACAAAATTCAATATAATCATCAATTACAGCAACAACACCACAGGCATTTTCACACATTCTAGAGCTTAAGGCAATCGGAAATTATGAGCCTTTCTTGAAAAACACTACTAACAATGAAATCCAGCCAACTAAAAGATTAATCAAAATTAAGAACTTACGTAAGGAGAAAATGTAGTAAAAAGCCTGGCTAATAGCTTTGAATTCATTTAACTATTAAGACTAAACAACTGGAAATTAGGATTACAAGACGAAATTTAAATGTTCTAAATCTTGACAATGTAAAAATAATATATCTACAAAAGGAGAAAAAGAAGAAAATGTAAGAATGTTATCTTTTAGAGTAGAAAGACAATACTATTAAAAATTAAAATATAATTTAAACTAATAACTACCTGGTTTTTCATAATTTTTCTTCTCAACCCAGGAAAATGGTATTCTTTGCAGTGGAAAAATATTATCTAAAAGTCTAGAATTCCTTTAAACTCACTTTCAGGTTATCTAATTAAATTAACACTAAAAAAGTAGATTGTACAATGATGTCATTTTTATAAAATTACTTCTGTTCATCTATCTAAATCTATCAAATCCATATTTCCATATATAACTTGCAGCTGTAAGGAATGATGTTCTGATGTTTAACGGTAGTGACTAAAATATCTGAGTTGTGGGATTTAGGGTTTTTTTTTAACTTGTTTCAGTACTTTTCTGTTTTGCTTGAATTCTATATAATTCTGCCATTTGTTTAAAAGCAGTAAAGTATTCATTTTTAAAAATCAATTTAACCAACACTTTCTGAAAACCAACTCTGTATCAGATCCTTGCTAAATGTTAGGGATTCAAGAAGCTCACTCTTTATCAAACCATTAAATATATAAAAGCAGACAAAATATTTCAGTCACCTTAGTTTGATTCTACCCACTTATGACTGTCTTTTTAAAGGGCCCTGGAAGAACCACATATTCAAAATAAAAAAAAAAGAAATAAATAAATAATGTCTTCTTTCCCTAAATCTCTTGGGAAAGAAGACAAGCAGAAAGACATCTTCTGGCTGGGCATGGTGGCTCACGCCTGTAATCCTAACATTTTGGGAGGGCAAAATGAGAGTTTCACTTGAGCCCAGGAGTTCAAGACCACCCTTGACCAACATGGCAAACCCCATCTCTACAAAAAAAAAAAAAAAAAAACACAAAAAATTAGCCAAGCATGGCGGCCTGTGCCTGGGACCCCAGCTACTCAGGAGGCTGAGATGGGAGGATCACTTGAGCCTGGGGGGCAGAGGCTACAGTGAGCCATGATGGCACCACTGCACTCCAGCCTGGGCAACAGAGAGAAACCCTGCTGAAAAAAAAACAATAGATATCTTTCTTCACACGTGTGGAAAAGGAAAAAATATTATCTGGTGGTACTGTATTCAAGTTAAACGGGCAATGAAATAAGTTCATTAGTTTTACAAGTCATATACCTTAAACAAGGACAAGAAAAGTGCTATCCATATACAGAAGAGTCAGATAGTCAAATCTGGAGGTTACATAATCCTAGGTAATAACAGCCCAGACTCCATTTTTGATGGTTGGCTGCTGACAGCTTTTAAACCTCACCTCTCCCTCTTCCCCTCTGCCTCACATGGGGCAAGCTAATGAGAAAGCCCAGATGCTTCTTCCTTTGGGGCACCAGTGAGTTTCAAACCACATAAGCCCCTATCCATTAAAAGCCTCACCCCAGACCCACTCCCTAACTACTAAACAACAAAACAACAACAAAAACACCCTCAAGCCAGTCTCCTTTCCCTGTGCTGTCCAGCCATTTCTGACAGCTTGGGAAGCCTGCCCTTCTCTCCCCTAAAAGTTTCATTATGGAAGATACATTCCTGGTGTCCCTATGGTATCATCAATCTTTACATCCAAACCAAATTTTGGGTGGGGGCCCATCCCATTGCTGCATGGTGGTTATGATATAGAAAATGAAACTGGCTCACAATAAAATAGCCATAATTTACATATCAAACCCAAATATGATTTACATATCAAACCCAAACCTGTTCCAAATTGCCACTAACTTCTGGAAATTTTAAATCTACTATCTCAATTCAAAAACTATATATATATTACATAGAAAAAGTTAATGCTTTGGCTAAAATGAAGGTAAAACTTCTCTCAGTATATTCTTAGAGAAAAAAAATTCTCAAAGGATGGTCAATGTAGGCCAATGCAGGGGTTCAAAATCATGTCTTGAATTTAAAAAGAGAAAAAAGGATTATTTTACAAAACCTGGAAAAAATGGAAAGATAGATCTCTAAAAAAAAGTTACTCAAGTATCTTAGAACTAGAAAAAGGCTAAACTCTTAAATATTTCTTCAGTACCTCGTTATTACTACAAAAACAATGACAACAATTAGCACTCATTTTTTTTAGCTCTCACTTGGCCGTAGCATTGTGCTAATTGCTTTTCACACATTATCTTATATAATAACAATCCTATAAGTAGTATTATTATCTGTATTTTATAAAGGCAATAACTGAGACTTATACATTTTTATCATCATTTTACAGGAAAGTAAAGTGAAGCTCAAAAAGATGGTGGCACCCACCTAAAGGCTGAACAATAAGAGAGCAGGGCTGGGCCTGAGATATATCTGACTCCTGGGTCCACACTGCTAACCAGGATACTACACCGCCTGGTCCAGAAATAATCCCCTGTCAAGCTAGCAACAGAAATGTAACTTTTTAGGAATTACCTTTAATATCTCATCCAAAAGAACAGATTTAATTTCTAAATCCTCAAAATTACAAATATATCCAGAGGTCTGAATGGGTTCCTTTAAAGACAAAAAAAAAGTTATGTTTCATTATGCAAAATTTCCTCTCTTTTAACAAATCATGCTTTTAAATTTTATTATCAGAGTTTTCAGGTAAACAAAAGAGAGAATGTCATTAACACCCATATACCCATAACCTAAATAATTAGCATTATGGTAAATATGCTTCCTTTAACTTCTTGGCTGAAGTATTGTAAAGTAAATACAGTAAATTACGGACATCATGATATTTTATCCCTAAATACTGCAGTACATATCTTTAAAACATAAGAATTTTCTCTTACATGGCCACATTACTATGATCACACCTTACATAATTAATGTTAATTCCCTAATAGCATGTAATATTCAGTCCAATTTTCTCAATTAATAAAAAGTCATATAGCTTGAAAATTCTAATTCATGCAATTCAATATTAAAGTTAATTCTTCATAAAGCTGATAAACACTATATTTGTATGTAAGCCCATCTATCAAAGAAATCCCATACCACACTGAACAGTCTCTCCTCTGTAACATGAGCCAGAGTGCATTCCTGATATATCTCCTACTCTTAAGAAGATTTATTTGCCAATATGTAAGTGCATGAGACTGTTATATGTCTGTCTCTTATCTTAGTGTTATACAGGCTTGTTGAAATAAAGAATAGGATATGCATATTATAAAGTAGCTGCCCTAGATCCTTGTATAAACATGTTTATCATTAGAAATTTTTTTTTTATTTTTGGCAAGACAGTGCAACAAAACAAGATAATCAAAAGATAAACTCACAAAAGTTGATCCATGAAAAAAAAAATACTACCAAAGAGAAAGGGAGAAAGATGGAAAGAGAGATCAAAAAATAAAAGTTTGAAAAATAATCTGATTATTAATGCATAAGTAAATACATTTATGTAATTCAGATTTTAAAAATTCAACTTCTGCTGGAATTAACCAATTTTCTTTAGTTTCCAAAATTCATTAGCTATCTATCCACACACTTCATTTAAATATGAAGTTTCAGACCAGCAGGGTCTCACCTAACCAGTATGCAAGATAATTCTTTTTATCAAAAAAGTAACCAAAGCTTTAATAATCTATACTACACCAAACAAAATATTGGCACCCTTATCCAGCACACAAGTCAGAAGGCCTCATAATATGTGCCATATAATGAGTGTCCTGAAGTACCCTTATTTGTCCTACAATTTTAGCATATTGTGATATACTGAGGTTTGCATATACCTAACTAAGTGAATTGAGGGATTGTATTACCTAATTTTAGCTAACTCTCACAAACTGGACAAATGGCTTAAAAAGCTTCTTGCAAAGAACTTGTAAATTAAAAGTAATATTAATAATGCAAGCACAAGCAAACAAGAAAAGGCAGAACTGACACCTCTCTTACTCCTAGCACAGATTCTTGTATCAGTCACATTACAACGTGAAAACAATGACAATCCTATCAGGTCTGACCAAAAGTCAGCTAAAAGGTCAAAGTTATCAAGTAGAGTATTTGACACATGAGACTTTTATCAACTAAGTTAACAAAACCTTGCTCTAAAATGTGCATTATGCTGATATACTAGCTAATGTAGCATTAGCATGAACCATAGCAATTAGCATGACTTAAAAAAATAAAGTTATGTCATCCAGTATAATTTATTTTTCTCATTCTTTTAAAATTTCTATTTTGATTCATAATATATTAATATGGTAGGTCATGTAAATAATTTCTAAATAAATATGTATATATAAGAGCATATATTCAAAAGTTTGGGAGCCCCTTGTTTGAAAAAGAAGCAAATGTACAAAAATGAGTCTGATTGATGAAATTATGAGATATGAAAGAAACATGAAATGAAATTGTAGTGCCAATGAGAAGGAAGAGCCAAGAAAAAGAACAAAACAGCGCAATCAGTACCTTCAGAGGGTCACTGGAGATGAAAATGATCAAGCAGGGAATATCAACATTAAATATTCATCTCCTAATTCTCAAAGAAAATGTGCTTTATCAGTGAATTAAAACTTTGCACACAGATGGCATCTTTTTCTCTCAAATAATCTGAAGATTTACAGCTTAGATAAAGGTATGAATCTAGAATTCTTAACAACACTCAAATGGATAAAAATATATTGTTATTAGCTGTCAAACAATAACTTATCTCCTAAATAATAATATAGAATATTATGTCCTTAAGGAACATACTATTAAATATAATAGTATGTAAAACAGATCTTCCCTGCTTTGAAGAGATCATGTTCTTACATGATCAATAAGCAGCTAGAAAAGCAAATGAGCAGAGTAGCTAAACCAGCTGCGACCACAGTAAGCCAGTGTCCTTGTGAATGAAAAGAACAGAACAGCATCATTTATAAAGAAATCCAGACAGTGGGAAGGTTTTAAGAAATCCATCTAGCTCTAAATCTAACAGAAATCGAACTACATGCCAAACCAGAAAACAAATTCAAATTAAAAAACAGTATGTTTTTAAAAGGCTGTTCTGTTAAAACTACTTAAGAAACTCTTTCCACCAGGCAAAGATTTCACTTGGTACCAGACTGACCATGTGTGCTATAGACACATTATGAGCAGCCAGATACAACAAACATTCTCCCTTCTCCAGGCATATGATTTGTGATTTAGTATGAGCAGGGCTAAGGATAGAAAAAGACTCTAACATTCAAAAAGTATTCTACTCCCATCCTCAAGGTTATCCTGTGGATTACCTGTCAAATTCCCACAATTGTTTTGTGGCAAGGATTAAATTTCCCTTGGACCCTTGAAAGAAGCCCATGCTTACAGGTCAAATGCAGCAGCCCTGAATCTGAATGCCTTTCCTTTGAACTATTTCTCAGGGTCGAAGAATCACAAAGATCCTAAGACTTGCAAAAGCTTTAACAGAGCCTTTGAGAGCACTTTACATCAGGGCATTTTACATCCAAAATTCCTGAGTAGGGCTCAAATGGGGAAATGTGAAAATAATTTAGGATATTAAAGGGGCAAACAGTTTACCACTAAATAAATTACTCCAGAAACCCTTTGGCAGCTCAGGGGCCCAAGCATGCAATTTCTTCCCAAGAAGGAAGCTATACATGCAAACAAATGGAAATTAATGATATAAAGCATTTATTAACTTATTCCTTATTATTTACAAGAGTAGAGTGCAGCAGAAGTACAGAAAATTCCAAATTGAAAATCCATTACTAATTCAAAAGTCATTTAAAAGATTTATCTTCTTAATGATGTTTTGATTAGGTTACCACTCGGATTATTTTGTATTTCCTAAATACAACAGCTGAGAGTTGGCCAGAGTAGACTAAGTGACAGGAAAATCCAGAGCATAGAAATTAGCTGATGTGAGCCACAAGCAGAAAATCAAAATGTAACCTTAAAAATGAGAACAAAGGGGACTTCCTCATACCCAAAAGAGAGATTAATCCCTGCCTGCACTTGCATATTTGTAAGAATATCTGGGTTAAGAAAGAACACAGATTTGTGAACGATATGGTAAATGTAAATATAAATAAGACAAAGTAAGCACAGAATTAAGTGAATAAAGAGACAGAAAAGAATGAATGGACAAGGAAATTTGAAAACTATATTTTTTTATTAGGTTCTTTTCAGAAATTCTGGTAAATAAGGCTACTGATTTTGTTTTCTTAAGTTTGACAAGGGAAAAAAAGACTAGTGACCATGGCTCCACCTTTTAAAAAGAACAGATAAATAAATGCCTAGGAAGTACCTTTCAGAGAAAGTAGAGAATATTTAATAGATAAGTATTTTCTCACCTAAGACCAAATATTTTTAAAATCCACAGAAATGTTCCTATTTATTTTCAGAAATTCATGCAGCCGTGTTGGCACTGCTATTCAACAAACTTCTTAAAGAAACAAAGGGGAATCATCCAGGTTTTTATATTTGGCTCATTATTTATAGACTGTTAACACTCATTTCTTGTTTTTACCTCAGGATCCAAGTTTCTGAAAACATACATTCTTGTCTTCTCCATCATTGCAAACAAATCAGGATTATCTTTGGCCCACTTCATATCCCAGACATCTCTTCGTTCCAATTTTAACAACTCTCCAACTACTTGCTGTCCCGTACTGTCCGTTACTCGAGCATCCAAGTCAAAGAAAGTCAGAACTCCTGAGATGTCTATGATAGCAAGACGGCTAAAAACAATGCAATTAGAGAAAAGGAAAAAACTATAAAATTACTATCAGCAATCATGAGAATAATTACCTATAGCCATTCTTCTTCAAAATCAGATTATCAGAAACCTGGAATACAGTAGAAATGGCTTAAAATTTTGTTAAATAAATTTGATACAAGATATGGACTACTCTCTATTTTGCTCTCTTCTGAGGAAAATGTATCCAGAGACAAAACCAATTGGTATGAAATATAAAATAGTCTCAATGCTTTTAAGCTTTAAGAGTAAAAAATTATACTAGTACTTCCACACGCCCAATTAAAAACATTTAAACCAAATGCAGTATAAAATAAAACCATACTGAATTTTAAGACAAGTTCATAATAGACACGCCCATCTTTACATTTATTACATATAAATCTAACAATCCCAACTGATCATTTCTAAGTCTAACATCTACATGAGCAGAGTTTTCAGGCTTACCTAGAGTTGCAATTCAAGGATAACTGGTAGGCTCGACAATTAAGGGAATATTTTTGAATCAAACCAACATTAGGTAGACTGTATCTCTGAATGGTGCCAGATTCACGACCCTATGGAAATTACTTTTGATTACTTAAGCATACGTGTATCATAATAATATTAAACTACAACTATTTCTCTATATGTCTATACATTTGTCTTAAAACCAAAGTGATGTCACAGCAAATTCTCAATTCTGATAATGAATCATGTCCTTAAGTACATATTTACCTACTAATTTAATTAAACCTTTTTCAAACAGCTGAAGTATTCTAATTTTTTTTCATGTAATATTCAAGAAAGAAGTCAGAAACCTAGCACTTTGGCAATACACAAATTCTTACATCACAAGGAAAAAAAATCTAAAGTTATTTATATTTGTTATCTAGGTTAATATTCAGGGCACATTAAAAGCTAAAGCAAAGTACTTGTTGAGTTAAATTACATATGTATATGAAAAATCAACAGAAGATCATATGATATAGCTGTTACTGAAGGTCTAGGTTTTTATCCTATAGTCATCTATCTGATACTAGTTTTTAGCAAAAGGAAAGATGATCTGAATGCAGGGATACTATGAATATTAGTTTAAATAAGTTTAAAAAATAAAGCAGCATATAATTTTGTACACAACTCAGGGCAAATCTTAAGGTTGACATATCAACAGTAAGTATAATGCCATGAGAGAACTGTGGGTTTCAAACCCTTGGCTGCCTCAGGCCATGGCAGTGGGACAAAGTGGAAGCCTCCACACAGCTGATCTTTAACTCTCTTCTTTTTAATCAGAGAACCACTGCTTTTGCAGCATGAGTCTCATGAGGGCTTATCAGAAAGGAGGGAATACTATAGAAATACTATGCTCTTAAGATTTTTCCCCCCATAAAATTAGCTCATGGCTGAGGAATGTAACTAGAACTAGAATATATACTATTAAGGTTTTGTTTACATAATTCAAATGCAATAACCCCAGCAGCATTACTGTATAAAAGTAAACATTAATTTCTAAAATTAATATTTTCAAATCTCAGAGCTCAAGAAAAGACACTATGCCATTGATTCTATTTGAAAAATTCAGCTGAAATTTGCCATAGGCTTCTCTATTTTACTGGCTGGCAAACATGTTACCTCGTCATTCTAAGTCTTATGAAAGTGGCTGAGCCAAAGCACTTTCTCCAACATAAAATATCGGGCTACACAAAGGAGGAAACTTTCTAATACCTACTACCACCATGCAATCTGCCCCACCACCATGCAATCTTCCACAGGGCTCATTCCACTCAGTGTTAGAAACTGTAAGTGTACTCTGTCTTCTCGGCTGGTCATCCCTGTACTGCTTTCATAAATAGCTGTTTTTGCAAATGGTTAATTATTAGCGAGGAAAGCTTTAAAACTTTCTTATTTCTCATACTGAACTTATATTAAGGGTACAGTAAAACTTGGGGTGCCCATAAGATGATATTCAAAACTTTACTGTAATTTTTTTTTTTAGAGACAAGGTTTCACTATGTTCTCAGTCTGGTCTCCATTTCCTGGCCTCAAGCAATCCTCCTGCTTCAGCTTCCCAAGTAACTGTGATTACAGACATGGGGCACACACCTGGCTCCTACCATATTTTTATAATTTAAAGAATTATTATTCATAAAATAAGTTTTTGCAAAACTTACCACAATCAATATCTTATCTGATGCAGTTATGGCACAAATTGGATCCCTTGTGCCCTAAAATAAATTAATCAATCATTACTATTCAACAAACATTTATTGAATAACTAACCTGGTACAACGTAGTATGCAATTCACTAAGCAGTCAATATTTCTTAACTTAACCAACATTTATTTACTGCTGAGCACCTACTATGTGCCAACCACTGAACTAAGCACTAGAGATACTCAGATGAAATCTTCATCTTCAGAGATTACTGAAAAGTCTATTGAGGAAGACAGTGAACTAAACACCTCATTGCAGGACAGTATGATAAAAGAAGAGACAGAAACAGAGGTTATGACAGTGCAGAGAAAGGAGTACCTAACTTACACCAAGACAGGCAAAAACCTGAGCTCAGGCCTAAAAGAGAAACAGACAGCAGAAGGGCCAGCACATACTAAATTGAGGAAATGTAAGAAGGCATTGCACTGCAACAACCTGGACAAGTCTCTAGGGCATTACGCTTAGTGAAAAAGCCAATCTCAAAAGGTGACATACTATATGATTCTATCCATAAAACATTCTCAAAGTAACAAAACTATAGAGATGGAGAACATATTAATGATTGCCAGGGGACAAGAATGGGACTGGGCCCAGCTACTTGGGAGGCTGAGGCAGGAGAATCACTTGAACCCAGGAGGCGGAGGCTGCAGTGAGCCGAGATCACACCACTGCACTCCAGCCTGGGCAACAGTGCAAGACTCTGTCTCAAAAAAAAAAAAGAAAATGAAGAAAAAAGAGATAAGATCCCTTATGGTGATAAAACTAGATAAACCTACACACGCACACCTATTAGCACATGTAAAAACAACTGAAAACTGAATAAGCTCATAGTCTAGTTACAGTACTGCGCCAATGTCAGTTTCCTGGTTTTAATACTCTACTACACTTACATAAGATGACACCACTGAAGAAAGCTGAGTGAAGGGACTCTTTTTGCAATTTTCTATTAGCCTACAATTATTTCAAGGTAAAATGTTTTTTAATAAAAAATTTTAAAAACCAGCATGATACATTCAGGAAATTTCAAGTTGTTTGCCACAGCTGGTATCTGAGGAATATACTGGGAAGTGGGCCAGGAAGGAGGAGTAGTTGTGGCTATTTATACTTTATTCTGAAAAATATGGGAACTTACAGAAAGCTTGTAATTGGGGAGGGGAGGAACTATATGTAACATGATTAGATTTATATTTTAGAAAGGCTGCAGTGGCCAGAAGTATAATAAATGGATTGGCATAGTGGGGATGGGGAAAACTGAAAGTAGAGAGGCGATTCTGTACTGTTCGATATGGTAGCCACTAACCTGATGTCACCATTTAAATGTAAACTTCAATTAATGACAGTGAAATAAAATTTAAAATTCAGTTCTTCAGTTGAACTAGCCATATTTTAAGTACTCAATAGCCACATACGGCTAATGGCTACTGCACTGGAGAACAAAGACACACAGTATTTCCATTATCACAAGAAGTTCCATTGGGCAGTGCTGGATGGAAATTATTGCAGTGACCTAGGCAGAAACTAATGGTAGACCAAACTGATACAGAGATGGAAAGGGGAAAGCCAATTTGAGGGAAATTTAGGAAACAGAATCCAGAGGACTTGGTGATTTATTAGACGTGGAAAGCAAGAGAAAATGAGTTCTCGTGATTCTTGCAAAGATAGTGAAGCCAACCACTGATATATAGAATATATATGCAGAAATGAATTGGGAGGGAAGCTGAGTTCAGCCTCAGGCAGATTAAACTTGGGGGGCTTTTGAGCTGCTCAATTTCTTGCTATCCAGATGGCAAGAAATATGTTATTCAGAAATTGAAAAAACTCAACATTGGAAATATACATATTAGAGTTGTTGGCATATGATTAAAGGGGTGGATTTCATTAAGAACACTAAGAAGAGTGTATTCACAGGTTTTTTTAAAAAAGGTAGATGGCTTAGGGCTAGACATTAGGGAATATCACAATAAGTGATGCATAGATGAACCCTTGACAAAGAAGACTCAGAAGGAAAAGCCAGAGATAAAACCAGGAGTGTAGTTTCATGAAAGCCAAGAAGAAAAAAGTAGTCATTAAAAATATTAAATGTAATGTGTAGATCAAATAATATAAAGACAGAAAAAGACCTATCAGACTTGGCAATTCAAAGTCTTCTGGAAACCAGAATGCAATGAAGTGCAGATGGAATGAACAGTAGGGGAAAGATGAATACAGAATAGTCTTTCAAGAAACTCAGCTACGAAAGGAGGAAGAGAGAAGGTAGTAGCTGGAAGAAAATACGTGGTTGACAATGGAAACTTCTGTTGTTTTTAAGATGGCATCTATTTTAATTTATGTGAGGGTACAGGAGAAAAGCTGGTTGATGATGAATCAATTTCCCAAAAGTTCCCTGTTAAAGCGACTGTTTCTTATTCACCAGTAGATTCCCAGCACCTACTCCAATGTCTCACACTTAATAGACATTCAAAAAATACTTAATTGAAAAAAATGGATGGATATGTAGATGACTAGATGAACTCTTGCATATTCTAGTAGATACATCACTAGATCTGCTGTCAAAAAATTAAGCTTGCACCCTTGCTTTGTTACTTAATCATTTTATGATCCTGAGTAAATCAGTGAACTTCTCTAACAGTTTTCTAACCTGTAAGAGAGGAGATGACATGCTGATTGACTTACAGAGTTTTGAGCATCAGATAAGAAATGAGACAACAGTTTTATAAACAATAGGCACTACTTTAAATACTCTGAGAAAATCATTTCAAAAACTATTTACTGAAATAGCAAATTATATTAGTTTGTAAACAGAAGCATATTTTCATAAAGAAACAGTTAACTATATTATCTGCAAAATATATGCACTCACTAATACGCCAGGGATGACAGACCAATCCATGGTCAACTGATAGACAGATAAAGAGATAGACAGATGGGAAGGTGTGAGGAGGAGAGGAGGAGTTATGTTTTCCAACATTTTTAGATAATACGCTTTTCTAAGTAGTATATTAGCTACTTATCACCATCTACCATCTTTATTTTAGTTCAAGAATTTTTAAGATCTAGGAAAAAGTTTACAGAAGAGGATTTTTTTAAAGAATTGCTAAAATAATATCCTATTCACTGGAAACAAATTATTTTTCAGGTTTCAAAATAAAATTATAATATTTCAAATCTACAGATATTAACATTTTCTGGAAAAATTAAAATCACCTACTTGAATGGTTTTACTATAATCAAGCACACCATCCATTGATCCAGAAGGGGTATCATCAACATGATAAATTCTGCAAAAAAGATCAGAATTTCAAAGAAAGTTTAAGTATAGTTTATACTATTTCATAATCTCTAGAATAAACGATTGGACAACATCAATTAATACTGTTATTTAATATAAAAATTCTGATTATTTTAGAGAGTTCTCAACACAGTTAAATCTTAATGAAGATAAAAATTATCTACCAGGTGTTTACTAGTTATATAAATGATACGTTCCTGAAAGCTGTACCAAAAACATATCTGAACATTTCATCATATATTCCCGATGAATTTCATTAAGCCCAGAGAGACATTTTACCTTACCCTCCACTTGAACATCAGTAAAGAGTAACATCTAATTCACTAACTTTCTCTGTTGTTTCTCCATAATTTCTCTTCTATCAATGTGTTTAATAAAAGTAAAATTTAAGTGGATTTAGGAGGTTCTAATTAATGCAACTTCTGCGCTGAAGTAAAGAAGCCTTTCCTACCCTTTCCTGTGTTAGGAAGGGGTATCACTTTTGGACATCCACTGTCTCTCTAGTACCTGTACCTGTATTATTATTTTAAAATAAATTTAAGGGGTACAAAAGTACAGTTCTGTTATATGGATATATTGAGTAGTGGTGATGTCTGGGCTTTTAGTGCAACCACAACCCAAGTAATGTACACTGTACACATTAAGTAATTTCTTATCCCTTACCCCCTACTACCCTCCCACCCTTCTGAGTCTCCAATGTCTATTATTCCACACTTTATGTCCATGTGTACACATTATTTAGCTTCCACTGGTGACCTTTGGCAAATACTTTAAGCTCATGTGTCTGTTTCCTCTCTGCAAAACAAGAATAATGAGCACTGATTAGATTTATGAAAGTGTCTGGCACGTAAGAAGTACCCAATAAATGTTGGCTGTTATCACCATCATCAACTGTACCTTAGAGATGAGGAAACTGAGTTCTAAGGGGAACCTACTCAAAGTTATTCAAACCAGTACACATATCCCAGACAGAAACATAAGGAAATGCTGTCTTCTTGATTTAAACTAATGTCATAATCTCTTTAGCAGCTATAAGACACTCTGGAGAGGCTAGGCTTTCTGCTTCAACTTTGTCCTAAGATCTACCTTCTCCCACAAGATTGCAGGCCTCTGCTTATTATTGCTACCACGGTAACGCCTACCAGCATGAGGACTACCACATACTGGCCAAAGATTCCTTCCAAAGATTCTTTCCATTTGGTCTTCCAGCACCACTGAGAACAAAAGATATAACATTTTTCAATCTTTTTTTCCTGCCTCCACATGAATTCGCATACTCAACATACTTTTTTTTTTTTTTTTTTTTTTTTTGAGACGGAGTCTCGCTCTGTCGCCCAGGCTGGAGTGCAGTGGCGGGATCTCGGCTCACTGCAAGCTCCGCCTCCCGGGTTCACGCCATTCTCCTGCCTCAGCCTCCCATCAACATACTTTTACTGAGGATCCATCTCCCATCTTAGCACATGAGTGAGTCTTAAAGGAAAGGCAAGGGGAGTCTGCTTTAAGATCTCAAGGATGTGAGGGAGGATAATGATTTGAAAAAACACCTAGCATTTCTGTCATGACTGTACCACTCACTTCCACCAACACAGGCCTGTGTCCCCATTAAGAATCCTTAGGTTAAAACATTCAACAAAATGCTTTACTTACAGGCTTAGAGTAACAACAGAAGAGCAGCAAACACAGAGTATCACTAATGGAGACAATATAACTTACAAAACACAGTAAATGCTTCTTCACTTACAGACTTACTGTGGGGAATCCCTCTATCCTGGCTTCTAACCTATCTACTATGTGGCAGAGCCCTTTTCACCCCACTTACTAGAAGTAATTCCAACTCCAGAATCCTTGGAAACCAGGGCAAGAAAAAGAAGCTAAGTCCCCAGTTCACCCCACCTAAAGACTTCTTCCATATGTGTGTCTAAAGGCCTGCCTCTCCTCTGGTCACTGATATTGGAATCACCCCACCCTCTTGGGAAAACCTATACCACTAATGTATAGGAATAAACCCTTAGTTAGATCCTTCGATCTCAAGTGAATAATCATATTTTAGTATAGCATATTAACTCTAATCTGGTGGGGAGGGTAAGTGAGGACAGCCATTTCCTTATAAAAACACAGCTTTCCACTCTTTATCTCTAAGGACTTTATTAAACCATTCTACTTCTCTTTTATTTTAATAAATTTAAACACATAAATTTTAAAGATAATCAAATTAATTGAAAAAACATTTCTACTAATCAAGACACTACAGTTATCAAGCATGACAATTTACAATTACTATGTCTGACTTCAATGTGATATGGTTGAGCTACTAAAAAGTATGTATCAAAAGATATACCTTTCTCTCCCTTCTTTTCGAGACCGTGTGATCTGATTAATTTCCAATGCTGTGAGCTTCTTTGCCACACGATATTGCCAGGTATAAAATGCTTCTTTCGAGGCTGCTATCACATGGGTTTTGGTCATTGCAACAAACAATGGTACTGTTAAAAATAACATTAAGATAATTTACAGTTACACAGAATTGCAGAATGCTTGTGCTGCAAAGGCCTTTAGTAATCACGGAGTTCAACCCCTCATTTTATAGACAATATACCCCCACATAGTCTCAAAATACCCATACACAGTCTCTGAAATCAGAAAAGAATCAAAAGCTTGTAGCATCATACAACGATACTAACTCAAAATAAATCAGAGACTCAAATGCTAAAACCATAAACACTTAAAGAAAACTTGGGAATACACCTTTATGACCTTTGGTCAGGCAATAATTGGCTTCTTAGATATGACACCAAAAACACAAATGACAAAAGAAAAATTAGATAAATTAGACTTCATTAAAATTAAAAACATTTGGGCTTCAAAGGACACTATCAAGAAAGTAAAGACAACCCATAGAATGGGAGAAAATATTTGCAAATCGTGTATCTGAAAAGAAATTTTATCTAGAAAATATAAAGAACTCTTACAACTCAATAATAAAGACAAATAGCCCAATTTAAAAGTGAGCAACGGATACAAATAGACATTTCTACAGTGAAGATACACAAATGGCCAATAAGCACATGAAAAAGATGATCAACAACATTAGCCATCAGGAAGTGCAAATCAAAACCACAATGAGATACCACCTCACACCCACTAGGATGGCTAGAATCAAACAGTCAGACAATAACAAGTGTTAGCAAGGTTATGGAGAAATCTGGGAATGTAATATGGTGTGTTCACTTTGGTAAACAGTTCAGCAACTCCTCAAAATGTTAAATACAGAGTTACTATATGCCTCAGCAATTCCACTCCTAGGTATGTACCCAAGAAAAATAAAAACATGTCCACACAAAAACTCATATGCTGATGTTCATAACAACATTATTTATAATGATCAAAAGTAGAAACAACTCAAACAACCATTAATTGAAAAATGAATAAATAAAATCCCAGTCCTTCCTCCCATCCCCACTACCAATTACTACCTGGTTCAGAGTCTCACTCTGTCGCCCAGGCTGGAGTGCAGTGGTGTGATCTCAGCTCATTGCAACCTCTGCCTCCCGGGTTCAAGCAATTCTCCTGCCTCAGCCTCCAGAGTAGCTGAAACTACAGGCACGCACCACCACGCCCAGCTAATTTTTGTATTTTTAGTAGAGACGGGGTTTCACCATGTTGGCCAGATTGTCTCCATCTCTTGACCTCACCATCTGCCCGCCTCAGCCTCCCAAAGTGCTGGGATTACAGGCATGAGCCACCCCGCCTGGCCACATCTTATATTTCTACTCTAATTTAGAAAAGAAAAATCTCCCAAGTCCCTTCCTAAGGAATATATTCTTCTAAACAAATAATTTTTAATATTCCTAATATGTATTGGAAATATATTCTCCTAAGCAAATAATTCTTTTCATCTGCCCATTTCTTAGAGAACATTTAATTGAGCTCCTACTGTATATGCTTTTATGAAGTAGATAGTCTCATCAAATCCATCTTATAGATAAATAAACAGAGGTTTAAAGAAGTAGAACAATTTGCCCAAGGTCACAAAACACAAAATAAACAACATAAAATTAAACACTCATACGAAATACATAAAAGCAAAAAACTCCGTCACAAACAGATTATACTACCTGTTTTCTAAATTCATGAACAATCAAAACAGTGTAAAACTTAATTTCTCTATTATAAATACTATGCAATGTAATCATTAATATGGCCGGAATAAAGACATAACGTTACTAGGAGGTACCATTTATAGAGTTCTTGCCAGAGTGCAGACAAAGGACATTTGAGGCAGCAAGAGACTTAGAAACTGAACAAAGAATTAGAAACTAGTCTGATGGTATGATGTTAATTGAGTGGGTTAACAACTCAGGGATTAAATTCAATAATTTTTATATGCTAAATAACTCAGTCCAACTGAGTAATTTTTTTTTTAATTCTTTTTTCACTGTAACTGTCAAGATTTTTTCATTCAAAATGTGTACTATTACCAACCTCTGGAGGGAGCTCAAAGCCTTTCTTGGAAGGAGCACTTTGCTGAAAGCCAGGCATGGAGACTGACAGCAAAGCCTCCAGGGTGCGCTCCTGCCAGGTCAGGCTGCGCTCTCCTTTCCCTGACCTGGTCTTCACTAAATCTTAAGAATTTTTTAAATATTTAGTAAATTCCACCATGGATACTCTAATGCTGGTAACTATTATGCCCTTAGTGTAATTTGAAGCAAGTTTGCACACCTTAACTGCTTTCTAATAAAATCTCATTTTTTCCTAAGTATATAAAAGCATTCTTCCAACCAATGTTTACCTACAATTATAAATTACACTCATGTTCCTTTCTTTTTGATAGATCCTAAATACTCACAAGGGTTTATCATTAGCCTGATTACTTCAAAATTAAAATGTTAGTGGTTCAAGGTAAGAGTCAGACTTCTTGGATTCAAATGACAGGCACTTGTTAATTCTGTGGCCTTGAATAAATTATTTGTTCTCTCAGTTTACTTACTGTAAGTTGAAAATAATAATAATGCCAACCCTACAGAGCTGTTTGAAAGTTTAAGAGAGATAACAATATAAATATAAATACAATATAAATTATAGCATAGCACAGTGCCTGGCATAGAGTACACGCTTAATAATACTTTTTTTTTTTTTTTTTTTTGAGACGGAGTTTCGCTCTGTCGCCCAGGCTGGAGTGCAGTGGCACGGTCTCGACTCACTGCAAGCTCCGCCTCCCGGGTTCACGCCATTCTCCTGCCTCAGCCTCCAGTGTAGCTGGGACTACAGGCGCGCGCCACCATGCCCGGCTAATTTTTGTATTTTTAGTAGAGACGGGGTTTCACCGTGTTAGCCAGGATGGTCTCGATCTCCTGACCTCGTGATCCGCCCGTCTTGGCCTCCCAAAGTGCTGGGATTACAGGCGTGAGCCACCGCGCCCGGCCAATAATACTTTTAAAAGACAGTATTTATTGAATGTTTAAAAATATGACAGGCAGTGTTCTAAATATATAACACATATTAACTCACAACTTCCCTATAAGGTAGGCGTTATTGTCCTCATTTAGCAGATAAAGAAACTGAGGCATGTGAATTTGCCCATATCACACAGTTAGAAAGTAGTAGAGCTGGACACAAACCTGGTCAATCTGGCTCCAGAAACTGCTCTTAACTACTAGAGCAGACTGACCCTCACTAAGGATTAAGAAGTATTAGTTAGACATGGTTGCTATTGTTCTTTTCACTTTTATCACCTACATAGGATTTTATAATAAAACCATATATAAATTCTCAGTTACTACAAAAAATAGAAATATATCTGAAAAATATGTTCTTTTGAATCAGTAAGGTGGTAATTTCAGCAAATTCATATGGGTAGATAATCCTATCTATACATATTTTGCTAGATCTTTATTAAGATTCATCCCATCTAGACTAAGCTTCTAGGAAAAGCAAAACAAAATCTTAACAGATACAATGTTTTAGGACAAGAACACAGCCAAGATGAAGGCCCTCCATGCCCTTTTTGACTGTTCAATATCTGAAAAGAAAAAAATTTGAAATATCTAGAAAGGTTATTGGATTTTTTTTTTTTTTGAGACGGTGTCTTGCTGTGTCACCCAGGCTGGAGAGCTGTGGCACGATCTTTGCTCAGTGCAACCTCTGCCTCCTGGGTTCAAGCGATTCTCCTGCCACAGCCTCCCAAGTAGCTGGGATTACAGGTGCATGCCACCATGTCTGGCTAATTTTCGTATTTTTAGTAGAGATGGGGTTTTGCCATTTTGGCCAGGCTGGTCTTGAACTCCTGACCTCAGGTGATCTACCCACCTCAGCCTCCCAAAGTGCTGGGATTACAGGAGTGAGCCACCATGCCCAGCTTGGAAAAAAAGTTTTTAAGAAAATAATTATGCTTTCATTAACTGAACTTTGTAATGCTAATAGGCAGTCATTACTAGCCAAGCAAGGATGTAAAATAATTTAAAACAATCTTGGAATTCACATATAAATAAAACCTGCTTGTAATATTTTAATGCTAAGGCATGAAATAAATGCCTACATCTGTAATGTTCACCCACTTTCCCATTTATTCATTTCTCAGCCCTTTCAAGTGCTGGTAAATTGAAATTTCACTGAAATGTTTTCATCAAATTAACTTTCTCTAAAATATATGGAAAACCTAGTGCACGTGTTAGATACCATCATTAGAAAGCTGCCCATGTGCTCCCACTAAAATGGCTGCAGCATAGGCAAACTGGTACTTGATGGCCACTTTCCATGCCTTCATTCCTCTGCAAATGCCGTTTTCTTTCCTTGAAATATCACCTAAAGAAATACTTACTTTTCAAAACTCAGCTCAAATGAAACCTTCTCTAAGTAGAAAGATGTCTCTGATGTCCTTATGCACCAATAACCATTTACCTGGCACCTAGAGCAATACCTAGCACGCAGTAGGGAAGCAATAAATCACTGTTCAATGAATTAACTAGGTTTTAATTATTTGTTCAGAAATCCCACAGGAAATGTCATAATTAATTTCTTATTATTCCCAGTGACCAGTACAGTACCTGAAACAGTATATACTCATTGATAGTTTGCTAAATAAATGAATCATCATTTTTTATTTACATGATAGAAAATAAATAATTTCCATGCATTCAATAAACATTTATTATGGGCCAAGGCAGTGTTAGGTCATGGGGATACAGAAGTTAATTAGACGTAGATCTTTAAGAAGTTCAAAGTCTAGTGGGGAAGATAGACAAGAAAATTAGTAACCACAGTGCAGGTTAAGAGGTATTTTGGATGGAAGCACACCAAAGGTATTATGAGTGCTCAAGAAAAGAACACCAAAAAAGGATACCTAACTCTCATGTGTAGAGTATAACAGAGTCCCACAAACTACACTTCTATAATAATCTATAAAGTTCATTTTAAAGTTTCTACAAAAATTATAAAGAGGAAGAGTAGGTGGCAAAACAAAAATAATAAATTCTAGAAGAGTATCACTCACAGACTTTTTTTATTTTAGCCTCTAGTCCTCATAAACATTTGGCATAGAAACTTTAAAAAAGAAATTTTACAGGATATGTATGAAACAAAAATGTTGAGTCTTTGGCTGTGTTCACTGCAGGCCAATGAAAGAACTGTTTGTTAAAATCTCAGTCAGCAAGACTACAAAAAAAAAAAGTTTTGAGACTCAAAAATACAAATAGTCATGCTCTCAAGTATTTGCCATTTTATGAAGAAGGATTTACATTTAGCTTTATTTTAAAAAAACAGTCTACTTGTGATAAAAATTACTTTGACATTAACCCTATCACCATTATGATTCTATGTTAAAACTTTGGATATTAAAAGAAAAAGCATATAATCTGAAGACTGACAAAATTTACCTCTTAAAGACTGTTAATGCTTCTAATAAACAAGAGATATTTATGTGATGAGAGTCTGTTAATAATTTTAAGCTAAGCTTTTTAACAAGGAACACTAATGTGTATATATATGTGTATATAAATATATACACATATAAAACATATAAACATGCCTATGTAGCAATGAATGTAAGACATGAAGTTGAAATGTGTCAATATATCTAAGTGAGTAGGTTATCAAGACCCTAAGCCATAGAGTATAAAGTCTTTGAGGTCATTATTTCTCATATTTGCTATTATCACCCAAACACTTAGCAATTTTTTCAACAAACACTTAGCAAAATGCAAACACTCAAAAGGCAACAGGCATTAATACTTAATTGCTTAGGCTAAATGTCCAATATGAAAAAAAAATGACTAGTTCTCAGGTTCTCAGGAATAATGCAATGGGTTTTTAATTTCTTAGATTTAATAATTTTTACAATACTGTATCCAATATACTACCATACACATTAAAAGAAAATCATTACTTTTGGAAGTTACAGTGAAATGGCAACAAAATACTTGTTAATGATTTTTAATAATCTACTTAGAATAAGATTTGGAATTTTTAATGGGTTACTTTCATAGTTATTGGGTAGAGGGAATAGTAAATCTAAAGTAACAAAAGTCCTTTGAAAACAAAAAGTCAGGAATTTTTAAAACTGTCCCTATTAATAGACTCATTTCATTAGAAAAATCTGGAAAGGGCAAACTCACTTTTACAAGCAGCCAAAGTGTTTTTATGGAAGAGAGGTATTTACAAGCAGTTTATTAATAATGAAAGTGGTTTAATAGCAAAATTCTTTCTATAATCCTCAGTTTATTACATACTAATCATTACGCTGCATACCAATTCCTACACAATTATATTTCCCATTTAAAGCGAATGATGGTACTATAGCAGTTGTGAAATTATAATGGATTTTAGATAGACTAACCTTATAATTTACTGTCTTAACCAGGATACTTTTGAGAGTAAAATGGGATATTAAGAATTCTACCATGGTAACAGATATAAACTGGTACTGGATCTGACAAAGTAGGAAGTATGGTCATCCTCGTTTTAGAAAACACCATTCTAATTAATAATACCAGTGTTAGGTTTTTAAATTAGTGTTACAAATAAAACCTGATTGGAAAAGAAATAAATATCAACATTTCCTTACCAATATCAATGTATTTGGGATCCAAGGGTGTACCAATAGAATTACAAAGAACTAGTACAAACTGTGAACAAATAAAACAAAAAGTATCAGAACTCCTGCTTATGAATAATAAAGGAAATATGCTTAATATATATCATGCTTATCTCTTTTTCAAGTATTGCTAACTGGGAAATAACTGATGAAACTGTTACGTGCAAAAAATAGCAGACAAAAAGAAAGATGATTTACAGCATTAAATATAAAGAAAGATCAGTTAATACTAAACCAAGGCTGCTTTCTCAATGTAATGGAACACTGTGGTTTTTAAGAAGACACAAGAAACACAAGTACTCTGGCTACTTTTCATCATTTATACAAGGGGTCTTCAAAAAGTTTATGGAAAATGTGTATTATGGAAAAAATAAGCATGGATTTAAAAATTGTTTGCATCAAAATAAACGTGCACTAACTTGTTAAAACATGTTTGAACAGGATCTAGTTTGAAGCACTAAGAAGGAGATGGCAGCAGTTTGAAAAAAAGCCCTGTCAAAGAAACATTAATTCTGCTAAAATTGAAGCAAGAAAAAACATCAAATTTATGGTGCAGCTTGGGTGGAAGAATGGTGAAATCATCAATCCTTTATGAAAAGTTTATGGGGACAATGCCCTAAAGAAATCAGCAGTCTACAAAAGGACAACTCACTTTAAGAAGGGACAAGACAAAGTAAAGATGAAACCTGCAACAGCAGACCATCCATGTCAATTTGCAAGGAAAAAATGAATCTCATCTTGTTTCTGCCCTAATTGAAGAGGACTAACAATTAACAGCAGAAACAATAGTCAACACTATAGACATCTCAACTGGCTCAGCTCACACAATTCTGACTGAAAAATTTGAGTTAAGCCAACTTTCCACTCAATGGGTGCCAAATCCGTTGCACCCAGATCAGCTGCACACAGGAGCAGAGCAGTAAATGGAAATTTCAAACAGGTGGTATCAAGAACCTGAGGCATTTCTTCAAAAATTGCAAAAGGAGATGAAACATGGCTTTGCCTGTATGATCCTGAATGCAAAGCACAATCAAAGCAATGGTTACCAAGTGGTGGAAGTGGTCCAGTCAAAGCAAAAGCAGACCGCCAAGAGCAAAGGTCATGGCGACAGTTTTGGGGGATGCTCAAGGCATTTTGCTTGTTGACTTTCTGAAGGGCCAAAGGACAATAATGTCCACTTACTATGAGAATGTCTTGAGAAAGTCAGCCAAAGCTTTAGCAGAAAAATGCCTGGGAAAACTTCACCAGAGTCTCTCCCCACCATGACAATGCTCCTGCTCATTCTATTCATCAAACAAGGGCAATTTTGCTAGAGTTTTGGCGGGAAATCATTAGGCATCCATCCACTTTACAGTCCTGATTTGGCTCCAGACTTCCTTTTGTTTCCTAATCTTAAAAAATCCTTAAAGGGTACCCATTTATCTTTAGTTAATAATGTAAAAAAGACTGCATTGACATGGTTAAATTCCCAGGACCCTCAGTTCTTTAGGGATGGACTAAATATCTGTTATCATTGCTTACAAAAATGTCTTGACCTTGATGGAGCTTATGTTGAAAAATAAAGTTTCTATTTTTATTTTTATCTGTTAATTCCATTTTTCCATGAACCTTCTGAAGTCCCCTCATATTGCTACAGTTTCTGATCAGCTATAACCTCAAAACTCATTTTTATCCTATGATCAGCTATATAAGAGCTAATTTCATTTGTTACCGTTGCACCAAATGTCTCCATCTCGTTCTCCTCCTTTGAAGCAATATATAAATGACAGGAGAAATTCAGAAAAATTCAGTTAACTCAAAAAAGACATGACTCAACCTAATGAAAGTGGCTTATATACAAATAATCATCAATGACCAATATTAGGAAAATAATCAAACGTAATGCACATTTTACATCACATTGTTTTAAAGTGATCATTTCATTTTTCTTACTGTTAGTCTCTGTTTCTGTATCTTGTACTAAGAATACTATTCTACTTAGATGTTTTTCCTGACTAGAACAACAATTTCAAATAAAGCAGTTCTTTATGTGCTATTTACACAGACTTTTTCTTTTTTCAGCATTCGATTAAAATTTGTTTAATTACTCAAAACATCTCAGGTACCCCATAGATAACATACGTCTACTATTACCCATAACATTTAAAAAAAAATAAAAAGAACTCATTGAATTAATTTCATAAATATAAACCAAATAATAAAAATCATATTTTAAAAAATCATAATTTACTCTTCCACTACTTAAAATAAGCTTATTTACTGCCACAAAATACCACAAATTGTATTTTTAATATATTTTTCATTTTTATCAGTTATACATGCTAGTAGTTCCAAAAATCAAATAGATCCACAAGGCTTCTTACTAAAAAATGGCAGTTCCCCCTAAGTTCCCATTTCCTGCTCCCTTTACCGATCCTTTTGCTATTACCTCCACAAATCTAAGTAACGTGTTTATACTGCTACTTGTTTTATTTCAATTTAGTCCATTAGCTCTTGCCTCCCCACTACAAATGACAAGTCTTTAGCTTTCTTTCATTCCCTTTTCCACCCCACCCCTACCACACAGGGGCACCTTTCCATCCCTCTCTCTATTTTTAATACCATTTTGTCGGATCAGAATTTAGGGTTCAGTATGTTTATTATACTTCAATTAAAAGGTGTTTTAAGTTTAAAAAGGGTGATTACATCATTTTGACTATGTAAATGCTATTCACAACTCAGCCATCAAGTGTATCATGATTTATTTTCTTTTCAAGCACATTCTGCTTTCTCTGTAGTCGATAATTGTATTTTTTCTCTTTGATTAGTCTTCTATGGGCTTATTACTAACACAAATCCCCAATTATCCCTGAATTATGTATATCTTGCTGCAAGGGCTCAAATATGTCAGGTAGTCTATTGTTATCCCCTTAAATTTCTCTTGGAGCCTTCTGACCTCTCATCTGACTCACTGGACACACTGCACCATGGTCAGCTGGTACTTTCTTCCTCACTGGTGTCCACTCTACTGTTTCTTCTGCTTTCTTGGTTTATTCCTCATTTTGTTAGACTATTTCCTAAAGTAACTTCCTAAGATAGGGAAGCTTGGAAGGGAAATTTTTAGTGAGTTACACATCTAAAAATGTCTGTATTCCACCCATTTATTTATTTATTTATTTATTTATTTATTTACTTACTTTGAGACAGAGTCTCACTCTGTCGCCCAGGCTGGAGTGCAGTGGCACATCTCGGCTCACTGCAGCCTCTGCCTTCAGGGTTCAAGCGATTCTCCTGCCTCAGCTTCCCAAGTAGCTGGGATTACAGGCACCCGCCACCACACCTGGCTAATTTTTGTATATTTAGTAGAGATAGGGTTTTGCCATGTTGGCCAGGCTGGTCCCAAACTCCTAACCTCAGGTGATCTGCCCACCTTGGCCTCCCAAAGTGCTGGGCTACCCTCATATTTAATTAGTAGTTGACTTACAGCTATGGAATTCTAGTTGGAAAACTATCCCTGCAAATTTTGAGGCAATTCTCCAAACCATTGCTGTTGACAAATAGAATGCCACTTATGATCCTTGACGTTATGAAATCTGTTTTTCCTCCCTGAAAGCTTGTAAGATTGTTTTCTCCCCAATGTTCTGAAATTCTACAATGATGTGTCTCAATGTGGAAATGTTTTTATTCACTGAGCTAGGCACTTCCAATCCAGAACGTCAAGGAAAATTTTCTTGAATTTTTTTTTCATACTTACTGCCCTGTATTTTGTATATTTTGCCTGTTCACTCTTTTTTTTTCTTTTTTCTTTCTTTTCTTTTCTTTTTTTTTTTTTTTCTTTGGAGACAGAGTCTTACTCTGTCTCCCAGGCTGGAGTGCAGTGGCGTGATCTCGGCCCACCGCAACCTCCGCGTCCTGGGTTCAAGCAATTCTCCTGCCTCAGCCTCCTGAGTAGCTGGGACTACAGGCACACGCTGCCACGCCCGGCTAATTTTTTCTATTTTAGTAGAGACAGGGTTTCACCGTGTTGCCCAGGCCGGTCTCGAACTCCTGAGCTCAGGTAATCTGCCCACCTCGGCCTCCCAAAGTGGCCTGTTCACTCTTTTTAGAAATATTATTGAAATGCTAAGCTTCCCGGACTGGTCCTCTAATTTTATCTTTTCACCCCTATTTTCCATTTCCTTGTCCTTTTGCTTCACTTTACAAGTGTTTTCCTTCATTTTACCTTCTAATCCTCCAGCCAAAGTTTTCATTATGGTTATCCTATTTTTAATTTCCAAAAACTTCCTCTTCTATAGTATCCTTTTCTTATTTTATGGATGTAATATCTCTTAACTCTCTGAAGGTAATATTAATGGTTCTTTCAAAATAATTTTTTTTTTTTGAGACAGAGTCTCACTTTCGCCCAGGTTGGAGTGCAATGGCACGATCCTGGCTCACTGCAACCTCTGCCTCCCGGGTTCAAGCGACTGTCCTGCCTCAGCCTCCCGAGTAGCTGGGTTTACAGGCTTGCGCCACCATGCCCAGCTAATTTTGTATATTTAGTAGAGACAGGGTTTCACCATGTTAGCCAGGCCGATCTCGAACTCCCGACCTCAGGTAATCCGCCCGCCTTGGTCTCTCAAAGTGCTGGGATTACAGGTGTGAGCCATCGCACCCAGCCCCAAAATAATGTTTTTCAGACGTGTCCTTCCTGCACAGTCTCTGCTTCTTCCAAGTTCTTTTCCACTTGTGTTTAGATGGCTTTCTCAAATGTCTGGCAATCCTTGTCTAACTGCTTATATTTAAGAGTCAGACATTGAAAAGCTGTTCGGAACAGAGTTGTCTATAAGTGAGCCTCACTGACTGGCGTCTTTACTGTAAGGTGATGGGCAGGGCTATTTCCCTGGGGACTCTCAATCTCAGTATCTTTAGAAGGCTTTTCTCTTGAACAGGTCGAATTCTCCTGAGAAGATTTCCAAACTCCCACCTCAAAGCTCAATGCTTGGCTGCCAGTGTTCTGGGAACCAAATAGGAAAAGAAGACTTGGGTAATGTTGAGTAGCAAACTTTTAACGTAATTGTCCTGTTTTCAGCAGAGTTCCCCCACCCTCAGCTCTGCTTGATGCTCTTCAGCGCAGAGACTCTTTGATCCTCTCTGGAGAGTAAACCCCAGTCGTTGTAGGTGGCAGAAGGGCAGCTGCCTGTGGACTCAGTATAGGGGAGTGGGATCTCCTTCTTCTTAAAAAAAGTTTTCTCTTTTCTGCATAATCTCTGGTACTTCCAAATTGCTTTTATGTTTGTTTCTTTCTCCCACCAGGTACCCCCAAGTCCTGTGCCTCTTTGGGATTCCGTGATCTAAGCCAGTTGCCTCTGTTTTCTCCCTGAATGGCTTATGATTCAGCTTTCTTAGGTCTGCTAAGGTAATTACCGCTAATCCACCTACTCTAACCTACAAAATGTTGTTGCCATTTCCTTTCCCTTTCTGGTCCCTATGGGCTTATGACTTTTTAAAAAATACCTTTACGATTGTTTAGCAAGTTTCAGGAGAGAACACCAGCAAACATGGCTGTTCAAAGAGTCACCTTTAACAAAAAACTCTATACTTTTTAATGGGGTAAAATAATTGATAACACAGCCAAAGATATTGGTAGTCCTTTTCAGAAATATTTACATACTTCTGCAAATATTTAAGTTGTTAGTATACTTTTTAAAAAGACATATTTATATTATTTATGTTATGCTATGATACATTAATTTTAAAAGCAATATAACTCCAAAGTAGATTTCTCAATGTCAAAAGCTACCCAAACTGTCTCAAGTGTTCATTGCTGCATAATTTCTTCAGCATTTATGCATAGTAGACATCTGGATGTTCATTTTTGCTCATGAAATTTTAATTTGAAAAGGGATTGCGGTATTTTAAATATATTTCAGAAACAAAAAGCTTCAGTATTAAACCAGTCAGTATGAATTGCCATAAGATTAGCTGCTTGAAGAAAAAAAAAATCAGGGACACAGCATCAATGGAGTCACAGAGTTTTCCAAAATTGGTCTAGACCAATAGTGCCAACAGACCCAATGTTTTGATGTACTTGCCAGTGTAGAGGCCATGCTTGAAAAGGTAGAAAACTATAACCCAAGCAGTTAGCCCAGCTATGTCTTAAGATATCAAGAAACACCTACCTGAGGATGATTTTCATCAGCTTTTGTAGCCAAAATGCAGAAATCTCCACAGGTAGTAATAGAAATGAGACCCTTCACATATTTAACATATTTTTCATTGTTTTTCGTATCCCAGAAGACAACACAATATTCTGGACGATCAGGTCTGGTATATGCATAAACTACAGTGTTTGAGCAATAACCCCACTAGGAAGAAAGGAAGGAGGAAAGGGAAGGAGATTGAAAGGGAGAAGAATTATTTAGTATTGGGAAGGCAAATCACATTATTTTATTTTTACTCTCAAAATATTGCAGATATTTATCACTGCTGACAAAATATATTCTTCAGAAATAGAAGACAGATTCAACCTTTTATAAAAATAATAGAGATTTATAAAACAAAGAATGTGCTGCAAATATAAATTTAGTTTGTCTAACTTTCCTTATTTTAATTGGTAAGATTTAAGCTTCAATGGTAAAAATTTTCAATAATCAATAATAACTGCTGGAGAGGGGACAACAGGTAGCGTGATCCCTGTCAAAGTTTCAATTCTGGATCTCCAAGTCGAAATTCAAAAATAGTCACTTTGCCTTTTTACCCCCATCCATATTTTTTATATTTGCTTTTATCAGAGTAACATATTCACATAATATATGGTCAAATAATCCTACCTGGCTTATTTAAAACAAAAACAAATGTAGAACCCCCTGCCAAATTTCCTCTCTCTAGAATGGTCGTGTACAACTACTTTAACTGCAACTGTTCTGGTGTTTATTTCTGTATCACATTATCTATTGATTATGGAACTTACACACTTACAGCTTTCCCTTCTAACTCTCCCAACATGTTTATATTTAATTTTGAATAAAAAAATAAAAATACATAAATTATATTAAAAATATAAAAATGAAATAAAATATCATGTTGATATTATCATGATTGTGTTTACCATTCAAACAAACTAAGCTAAACCATGTTTAGCTTTTTGTATCCTGATTACTTTCTAAAATAAGTTTTTTTACTTTAAAATAGTTTTAGATGGACAGAAAAGTTGCAAAGATAGCACAGAGTTCCCATATACTCCTCATCCATTTCCCTTATTGTTAACATTTTACTTTACCATGGTACATTTGTCACAACTAGGAAATCAACATCACTATTAACTATATTACTATTACTATTAAGTAAACATCATACTTTATTTAGATTTCATTATCTTTTCCAGAATGTCCTTTCACTATTCCAGAATCCCATTTGGGATACTTAGATTTAGTCATGTCTCCTTAGGCTCCTCTGGGGTGTGACAATTTCTCAGTCTTTCCTTGCTTTTCATGACCTCAACAGTTTTGAGGAGTACTGGTCAAGTATTTTGTAGATTGTCCCTCAATTTGGGTTTGTCTGATGTTTTCCTCATGCTTAGATTGGACTTCAGGTTTTTAGGAAGACTAGCACAGAACCGAAGTGCACTTCTTTATCATGCCATATCAGGGGGCATGTGATAGCCACATGACATTCCTAATGATGTTAACCTTTATCACTTGGCCAAGGTGTGATTGACAAGTTTCACCAATATAAAGCTACTTTTTTTCCCCTCTCCATACTCTACTCTTTGGAAACTAAGTGTAGCCACACTCAAGCCAGGGGAACAGGGGCCTATGTTCCACCTCCTGGAGAAGGCAATACCTAAGTAAACTGGAATAATTCTGTAAGGAAGATCTGTTTCTCCTCTCCCATTTATTTATTTATTCAAATAATCCATCTATATCAGCATCAACTCTTGGGCATTTATACTTTGGGTCACAATAAAATAATACATCATTTATTTTATTATTCAAAGTGCTCCAGCTTTGGCCATTGGGAGGCTCTTTCAGCAATGTCCTTTTGACATTTCCCCATCCTTTTGTTGTCTGAGCACTTCCTTACTTGCTGGGACTATAAACTGTTCCAGGCTTACCTTGTATTTTCCCTGCCCTAGTCCTAGAATCAGCCATTTCTCTAAGGTCCTTTACCTTTTCAAAATTAAATATATAAGATTTTTATAACAAATAGTTTACCAGGTCAATCTCACATTTGAGAGCTTGCTTTTGGATCAAATGTTAAATTCAAGATAAAATACTGATTATATGTTATGTTGCTTATTCTCATTTTCTCCTTCTAATCCATTCTCTGCCCTTCTCTACCCTGCCGTGAGCCTTGGAGACTAGTTTCTACGAACTCCGTCACCTGGGCTACCTGGCCATCTGGCTCCCCTTTGGGTTTGGCCAATAGAAAGCACCAGCAAGTGGAGAGGTGAGTTGGAATATTTATTCCCCAAATCCCTCTCTGCCTGGCTGGTTGGCAGGGTCTGGGCTCCTGCAGAGCAGACCCTCTTGCACAGCCACAGCTCTTGTGGGTTCCAGGAGCCTGACTCCCTTGTCTTGCCCCTTCAGGCCCAGGGCTGGTGATGGCTTCTCATTGACGCTAATCTTTGGGTGGTACTTTTTATCATCCCTTACTGTTCCCTTTAGCCCTGCCCACATCTCTGTAATAAGCCCTTCATCAATCTCTCTTCAATTACTCCTTTGAGTGTACCATCTGTTTCTGGCTAAGACTCATGGAGTAATTTTACTAACTATATATAGTATTCTAGAAAAGTTTACTAGTTCTAAAATCTTCACACAAAAAGGCTTCCTTTCTGCTAGCTCCTAAAACAAGACAGCTTTGAATATACTTTGAGCTATAGCAAAATTATTTAGTAAGAAACACTGTTTATTTTACAACTGCTCTTAATATTTACCTTATAATTAGGTCGAATGTTTGCAAAATATATAAAGGAATCAACAGCTAGTGCAATTTTCAGTCCACCTCCTTCCCAAGATAGTGCAGATATTTCCTTTCCAGGAACTTTCAAAGTACCCAGATGCTGAAAAAGAAAGTTATCTTTAACCTAAAGTATAACAATTAACTGAAATACAAATTACCACCAATCACTTCACAGAGATCAAAAGTGGTATGAACATTATTTTGTGAAAAGTTACTAGTCACTTTAAAATCATGTTTCTTGAATTTTTTTTTTTTTTTTTGAGACGGAATTTCTCACTCTCACCCAGGCTGGAGTGCAGTGGCGTGATCTCGGCTCACTGCAAGCTCCGCCTCCCAGGTTCACGCCATTCTCCTGCCTCAGCCTCCTGAGTAGCTGGGACTACAGGCGCCCGCCACCACGCCAAGCTAATTTTTTGTATTTTTAGTAGAGACAGGGTTTCACTGTGTTAGCCAGGATGGTCTCGATCTCCTGACTTCATGATCTGCCTGCCTCGGCCTCCCAAACTGCTGGGATTACAGGCGTGAGCCACCGCACCCAGCCACGTTTCTTGAATTTTTATAATGAAAAACATGCATATAAGAAAAATTTACAAACTATATCCAAAGAATTCAATAGCAAATTTCATCAAATCTAAAATGCCATAGACTGAAACATGAATTTTTATGTACAACTAAGGAAAGGAAAAAACACATTGCTAATTAAAATATGGCAACTTTGATTATAAGATGCCTCCTCATTTTAAAGTTGTAAAAAATTATATTTCTTAGAATCAATGAAATATTTTATTAGCAAATTCAATCATAAAGTCTTGTCTTTCTCTTTCATCCCCTCACAACCAACGAGTCACCAAGTCCTACTGCTTTTACTCCTTTCCACTCTCTACAATTACCTTTTTAATGGACTGCATTGTGGTAATAGCTTCCTAACTTTATATCTTACTTTTCATCTGTTTCCTTATTCTCCCCCTCTGCCCTCCCAATTCAATCTATACTCTGCTGTCACAATTATCTTTCTGGAACACAGATCTAATCATAACCTACCCTGCTTTTTAAAAGGTTTAATAACTTTTAAAAATCAGTAAATCCCCACCATCACATTCTTTAGCATGGCATACAATGCCTTTTTCCCATCTTGTCCAAAATCATATTATGTGGCTTAATATCCCACTATTTAGCCATAACTGCTGTGTGCCTGCTCGTGAAGGAACTACTCTGCCTCCACAGCTTTGGCCTATACAATATCCCTTCTGCCTGAAATCCCCCTCTTCTTTCCTCACAGCTCCCCTATCCTTACTGGTCCTTGTCCTCCTGGAGCACGCCTATTCATCCATCAAGATACAGCTCAAATACTGCTTCCTCAACGAGTCCTGCCTTCTTCCCCCATTCTATGGTTCCAGAGAATTACAGAATGAGCTCCTTAAGAGTACTAACTGTATCATATTCACATTTCTTTCCCTTTCCATTAATAGATTATTTGATAAACTGATAGTCAATATATATCTTCAATAAATATACATTCAAATTTTTTTAATTTAAAATTTAAAATAAATAAACAGTACTTTTTATGACCAAATTAACGAGTGAATAAATGAATACAAACACTTTTTTAATGTGGCTATAAGGCAATCGAACATTTTTAATCTATATCTTTTATTTGACAGAATGATAGAATCCCCAAAATTTCAATGAACTTTACTGGTATCCCTTGTTCTAAGCAGATACCCTCTAGGGTCAAATTTAATGTTACTATAGTTTGAATGTCTGTCCCCTCCAAAACTCACATTGAAATGTAATTGCCATTTTGACAGTATTAAGAGATGAGACCTTTAAGCAGTGATCAGGGCATGAGGGCCCTCATGGCTGGGACTACTGCCATTATACAAAGGGGAATTAGGTCCCCTCTTGTCTCTCTGTTGCACTCTCTTTGCCCTTCTTCCTTCCACCATGAAATTATGCAGCAGAAAAGCCCTCACCAGATGTCAGTAGCTCAATACTGGACTTCTCATTCTCCAGAACTGTGAGCCAATAAGTTTCTGTTAATATATACTATGCAGTCTGTGGTATTCTGTCATAGCAGCACATAATAGAGTAAGACAAATGTATTGAGCTCCATTTTCCCAAGGAAACCAATGGAAGAAAAAAACTCAAAGTTTTAACCTAGGAGGGTCTGATCTATCTGTCTTGCTACCTGTATGAAATTAAAGGTGAACCAGCAAGCCCTCTACAGTACTCTTGGTATTGACCCATCCATAAGAGGAGGAGAATACGACCATCTTCTAACTGCAAACCAGCCAGGATGTGGCAGCAGCAAGGAAAGAAAACCACCTTTTAGTAAGCCCTCATTACATGCCAGGCACTGTGTAGGCATTTCCTCATTGTAATCTCCTTTAATCTTTACAACAGCACCATGACGTATTTCCTTTATTTCTGAAAATAACTAAACTGTGTCTCAGAGGCTAAATAACTTCTCTACGTCAAACTACACTGTGGAAAATGAATTCAATACCAGATCAACTTGACTACAAACCCTATGCTCTGTTATCTCCTACCATGGCTAAGACCACAGTGCAAAACCCAGGAGCCCCTGGCCCTCAGAATTTAAAAGCAAATTCTTCTCTGAGGTTTTCTTAAGTTTAAATCATTAAGTTTAAATTGTTAGATAACTTCCATCCAGGTTATCTTTCCTACCTTAACAATAACACAGATCCAAATAATTCCCCATATATTCACTCACTCAGAAAATACTGACTACTATGACCTGAGGAACTATGCTAGATACTTTTAGTTACAGCTAAACCAAACCCCACTTACAGTTTTCCGTTTAACACTTAACACATTGTTTTGCAAGACAAACAAACAGACTTTAGAACCCATGTTTTTCTACCTGGGGAAGGCTGAACTAACAAAAATAAGCAGATAAAACATTATGATAAATAAGTAAATGGCAACCAACAAAAATAACCAATAAAGAACAAGAATTAAGAAGGAGGCTATAAATATAGAAATAATTAGAATGCAGATTTTTAATTATTTAGGAACCTTGAAAACTATGCTTTTTTTTTTCCTTCACTTTTACATCTACGAGAAATATTGTCGTTTGACAATGTATAGAGAGCATCTACGTTCTACAGTATATTCTACTGGGTAACTTTGAGATACTGATTCAAAAGCATCAGAAGACATCATTTCTTGCCCTAAAAGAAATTATTAAAATATATAAAAATAACATTAAAACAACTGGTATAGGCTTTTATGCAGCCAAAAATATATATCACTGTAGTCTATGGCGAATTTATAAAAGCCAACAGGGTATTCAAAAGGGACAAAATATAGTACTGGGTTAGAAAATAAGACATTCAAAAAACGTATTAAGCTTAGTTATTAATAAGCTCTCACTTTCTAAATTCTTTAAAATTCACAATATATTAATTCTCCTACTTGACATTTTCCAATGCTACTTCTGAAAATTCTTTTAAAATTAAATTTATTAAAAATACTATTGAGAAGGATAATACTCATATGTACATTTATGAAAACAATGCTTTTATTTTAATGTAGCATCACCTAAGATTAATTATTAAATTTTCTTCAAATAACTGATTACTTTGCAACAAATTAAAAGTATTAGAAGTTTGAAGGAAGGACAGACAGATATGTATGTTTAACATCTAAACACATTTAAAATATCACATTAAAAATCAGAAAAATTAATCTGAAACAACTATATTATACTAAATACTACTCAAAAGCTGGCTATGAAAAGAGACACATATTCAGATCACAGAGAAAATATTCAAAATAACTACTCCATGGTGATTTCTTATGTTAAACTTCTGGTTTTCTGAATGTATAAAATTGTAATTTTTATTTTATAATTATAAAACTATAAGATTATAAAATTCCATGATAAAATACAACAAAGATTTATACTATGAAGATGAAATGTCCCTAAAAGAAAATGTGATAAGTTTACACCGTTTCCTTTGTTATTTTTTCCTCTACCTTACTCACTGCACATTTAAATAGAAAGAAAGAAGATCAATTTGAATGCATTTACCTCACCAAACGGAGTGTAAAACTGCACAATGTTCACATCTTTGTCCTGCATGGCTGCCTTCTGGAAGCCTGCCACAGCTAACACGCTGCCCATGTGGTTCCACTGGATGCCTACTACGTACATGCCAGTGTCAATCAAAACGGGATCTAGTCAGAAAGAGAAAAATGAGGTCACTGTGGGAAAATACGTAGCCTAGAGAACTTTATAATCTTAAGAACAACTTTTAAACATTTTTAAAACTTTCCACATTTTTAAAAAAACAGGGCTGGGTACAACGGCTCACGCCTATAATCCCAACACTTTAGGAGGCTGAGGCGGGCGGATCACTTGAGTCCAGGAGTTCAAGATCGGCCTGGGCAACATGGTGAAACCCTGTCTCTACGAAAAATACAAAAATTAGCTGGAGGAGTTGGTGCACACCTGTGGTCCCAGCTCCTCAGGAGGCTGAGACCTTGAGCCTGGGAGGCCAAGGCTGCAGTGAGCCAAGAACGCACCACTGCACTCCAGCCTCGGCAACAGAGCAAGACCCTGTCGCAAAAAAAAAAAAGTTAAAAATTAGAAATTGAGGCCGGGCACAGTGGCTCACGCCTGTAATCCCAGCACTTTGGGAGGCTGAGGCAGGTGGATCACGAGGTCAGGAGATAGAGACTATCCTGGCTAACAGGGTGAAACCCCGTCTCTACGAAAAATATAAAAAATTAGCCAGGCATAGTGGCACGCCCTGTAGTCCCAGCTACTCGGGAGGCTGAGGCAGGAAATTCGCTTGAACCCGGGAGGCAGAAGTTGCCGTGAGCCAAGATCGTGCCACTGCACTCCAGCCTGGGCGACAGAGTGAGACTCCATCTCAAAAAGAAAAAAAAAAAAATAGAAATTAAAAAAATTTTTTAAACAGAAAAATTCCTTACTTTGGTCATTCTCATGTCTCATTATTTGGCATCTTCCATTATCAAAGCAAACAGCAAGGCAAGGGCAATCAGGCTCCACGTAGCCTTCTGTGCCATGGTACCAATGAATTCCAGCAATGCTGATAGCTCCAGTGACATTCACCAAACAACTCAGTTTCATTTTTATCTAAATAAAATTGGTTAGGTTTAATATTTTACATTTTAAAACACAGCAGTATAGAGACAATACTCAATAGAGTATTGTAGAAAGAACACTGAAAAATACAGTCTAAAAATCAGGTGGCAAATTAAAGCTTAATCACTTACTGGTATACAGGCCATGGACAAATCACCTAAATGTCCATTTTCCCCACATGTAAAAAATGAGGATTAAAAAACACTGAGTTTTTATGAGACTCAAACAACAAGTATATAAAAGTACTTTGAAAACAGCAAAATGACATAAAAGTTCATTATTTTACTTCCACCAGTGAGTGGATTTACTTAATGTCCTAACCCTTGCTAAAAAACAAAACTGCCCCACCAGTAATCATACATCTATGATAGCTAAACCTTGCAAAGCCAGAATTTTTCTCCAGATTATGCTGCCTGATCCTATTCTATTTTACCTTCTTTCCAGGGATTGATTTTTCTCACTTACCATTTAAGTCTGTCATTCTTTTTACAAACAACCATTGGTAGCTTGCTACAAAAATACCCTGTGGTATCTACATGTAAACTTTGGCTTCAGACACCAGAAGACACCTATAAAACTTAAACTGCACATCGCCCTACTCATTATCTCTCTGCTTAAATGCACTGACACCTCGTCCTTTCTACCTACCAAAAAAAATTGGAACTAAAAGCTACACTCGAACTTGTTGCACTAATTTGCCTTGAGAAAACCAAAATTTTATTTAATTAAAACAAAATTTAGACGATTGGGAAAAAGAAAAAAAATCTGAATTGAAGACTTTAATTACACAAACCGCCATAAAAAATAAATGTATATACAAACATGAATGATATGTACGATAATCATATAAAATTGTATAAACAAGACTGATGCATACACTTACTTACCATAAAATTTCCTTGATTATCGTAAATGTGTATTTCCCCATTTGCCATTCCAAAAAGTAAGACTTTACTGTCCGCAGACCATGTTACATGGGATAGCTGTATACCCTTCAGGTCTTTTCCCCAAATACGATTGCCTAAAACAAAACATTATTAAAAGTTGTTCAAGGTCATGATCCTCCAACAACGGCTTTCGAAATCTTTGTTTTTCTAAAGATCTCACAAATTCTTCACAGCATTCATGCATTCATTCAATTTATTTGGCCAATAAATATTTACTGAGCACCTATATGTGCCTGAAAAGACATCTGAAATAGCAGCTGTTTCAACCTTTCTCCCCTTTCTTCTAAACTCTGATGCTGGATCTCACTCCCAATTAGCAGTTGAGCCCATCTTCTATTTTGGAAAGAAAATAAAAGCACCCAAAAAACAAATTCCTCATTCCCATCTTCAACAATTCAGAACATAACTGAGTCCATGCTTACACTTTCTGCGTTGCCCACTAATACAAAAGAAGAGGTATTTCCCCAGTCAGTCCCCTATCCAAGGCTAATTCCTCTATGTATTCTCTGATCTAATCCCTTCCTACCTTTGCAAAGATCTCCCTTTATCGACTACTCTCATTTTCTCTTTCTCATTAAACTCTTCACTCCAGGGCCTTTCTTATGTGGATTTAAACACATGCAGATCTATTTCTCTTTGAAACCATCACCCTAAATAAAATAAACACTTTTATTAACCCCAAGTTCCCCCTCTAACTACTATTTCTACCATTCCTTTCCCAACCAAACTTCATGAAAGAGTTCTTCACACCTATAGTCTCCACTTCAACTGCCACTCAACCCTTAACCCCTCCCAATCTGGCTTCTGCCCCACAACTCCATTGAAACTGCCTACAACATACACTATTTGGGTTATGGTTATATACTAATAGTCCAGACCTCACCAATATTCAATATATCCATATAACAAACCTGCACTTGTACCCTCTAAATCTATAAAAATAATAAATAAAAAAAGAAGAAACCAAACCTGTTGACATCTTGATCTTGGACTTCTAGAGTCTAGAACTCTGAGAAAATAAATTTCTGTTGTTTAAAAAAAAGAAAGAAACTGCCTTCATGGACGTCACTGATGGCCTGTTGCTAAAGCCAATTGATACTTTTTTTTTTTTTTTTTTACCACTCCCTCCTTCTTGAACTCTCTTGGCTGCCATTAGCCCATATACTCCTTTATCTCTAAGACTCTTATATTTCTCGACATCCTTCTTCTGCCTATCCCTTAAATGTTGCTGATTTTTTTTTTTTTCCTGAGACAGGGTCTCACTCTTTTGCCCAGGCTAGAGTGTAGTGGTAAGATGATGGCTCACTGCAGCCTCAACCTCTCAGGCTCAAGCAATCCTCCCACTTTGGCCTCCCAGGTGATTGGGACTACAGGAGTATGCCACCACGCCCAGATAATTTGTTTTGTTTTTTTTTTATTTTTAGCACAGACAAGGTCTTGCTATGTTGTCCAGGCTGGTCTCAAACTCCTGAGCTCAAGCAATCCTCCCGCCTTGGCTTCCCAAAGTGCTGGGACTGCAGGCATAAGCCACTGTCCCCAGCCTAAATGTTGCTGATTCTTAACTCTACAAATGCCTCTTAGTTTTGTTCAACTATTTCAATGGTTTAAATTACCATGCATATGCTGGTGGTTCCCAAAATTTTGTGTTCAGCACAGACATTTTTGAGCTGCAGATATGTATGTCTAACTATGGTCTGGATAGATTTACTTGAATGGCCTATGGCATGACAAAATCAACATATCCAACAGAGGAATTTTCCCTTAAAATCAATCTTTCTCCACACTATTTTAATGAAAGGCATTACCATCCATCCAGCTGCCCAAGCTAAAACTCTGGATACTGCCCTGGGGACTTCCATCCTCTCATCCCCAATCCTATCTATTCTGCCTCCTGAGTATGTATAAAATCTACTTACTTCCATTCCCTTGTCATTACCTGGATGGCTACCATCCACCATAATCTCTCACCTGAATTGCCAGAGCAGTTTCCTGATACAGCTGCCCATTATCTTTCCTTCCTTTCTCTATTCTTCATATGTAGCACAGAGATGTTTCTAAAGAACAATCTTATCACATTGCTCCCATTCTTAAAACTTTTCATTGGCCTCCCAAGTGCTGTTGGACTTAAGTCCAAACACCTTAATATAACTTATGATCTGCATGATCTGGCCTCTGTTTCTCTCTCTAGATTCACTGCATACTACTCTTCACTGTTAGTATTATACCCTACTGATAATCAACTTTTTTCAATGGCCCAAACATAGCTAAGTGCAACTCCTCTGGACCTCCTCAAATACTACTTCTTAGGGCAGAGACATTCTACACACCAACCTACCTTGTGGCTAATGCCTCAGCATCAGCATCACTTCCTCCAGGAAGCCTTTCCTGATCCCTCCAAGTCTGCATTAGGTGGCACTTCTACATGCTCCTGTATTTTCCCCATCTTAGCGCTTATCACAGGATACTGTAATTTCTCAGTTACTCATCCATCTCTCCTGATCTAGGTCTGGTCATTGCTGTACCCTTAGTTCCTAAAATGATAGCTGTTGCTTTATAGGCTCTCAGAAACATTTGTTGACTACATGAAGTTACACACACACACACAGACACACACACACACACACACACACAGAGCGAGCGAGAGAGAGAAATAAAAATGATTTTAAAATAAATTATTTATCTACAGAGTTTCAAATTAAAACAAAGGTGCAGACTCTCAGAAGACCCAGTTTTATCTATTACTAGAATTTGAAAAATACAGGTTTTTAAGGCTATAAACTACAACCAACAATGACATATTCAGTTCCAATAAAAACGACCACAGACTTTTTGAAACTAAAGTCTATATATTTGTACAGACTAACCAATATAAAAAGAAATTACATAATGAGGCAGACATGTTTAAAATAATGCTGAAAAGTTAATTCAATTTTTTCAATGCCACTGTAGGAAATAAAAAAATTTCCTTGAATATACATAAAAACAGATGGTTAAAATCAAAGAACGGTTCTTGAATGTCGTCAAATTGTATATCAAATAGTTTCCCTTTTATGTCTATTTTTCAATCAGAATGCTAACATATGGTAACTAACTTAAATCTCTAAAGAAGAAAACTGTCAGCCAGATATTGATCTTAGTTCTATGTCCAATCAATACATTACCATCCACTGAACCAACTATCACAGCCCCATCTTCATATACAATGCAGATCTTCTGTCCGTCAGCATTCCAGCTCATACTGCGAACAACTGATTTATTTCGATTGTTGATCATCTCCTCAATCCAAGAGCCTGTTTTCACAAATTTAAAAAATTACAAGTCAAAACTTTCACATCTATTAAATAGTAGTTAAGAATTGAAAGCATTCCATAAAGTACGCCATGGGACAAATAACTGCAAAGTTTTCTACAACCTGAGACATTAAACTATAAAACTTCCAAATCCAACAAAAACAAAATGAAAAATTAACTTGGGCTTAACTGATAACTGCTTCAAAGATTATCACAGAAAACATAATAAATGCCCATCCTTTGTTTCTTCTTTCTTTCTTTCCCTCTCTCTTTCTTTCTGTCAATTAAAAATTAAACTTCATTTGCTTTTTCAGAGCTAAAACTACTGATTTTTCTGAAAGCCTAACTTTTCCCACTTGAACAATATGGTTCAGATCATAACCAATTAAAAAAACTCCAAGTAACAATAACTTTATACATATGCACATAAACTCTCCAATGAATAATTACAAGCATATTAAATGCAGCATATTAGTTACCATCACAAAGAGAATGAAGGCAAAAAAATACACAGCATATTAGGTAAAACCCTAAGCCTGCTTGAAAAAATTCTAATCAGTTTATACTACATTAGTGACACGACATCTCTAATGCCGAATGACAAAAATATTCTAGTTGTATGCAGGGTAGGAATGAGATGTAACTTGTCTTTTAGCATAACCAAACTAGAAGCAAAAAAATAGGCTATTTTGTTTTTGCTTTTCTCAAAGGCTTTTTGACATACCAACATGGGCAACTCTGGCCTGCAGCCAAGCAAATAATCATGTAATTTGGAATAACTGCCCAGAGCAGGATAACAGAATCGAGACTGAGACCCAGAGAAGACCTGAAGACCTACCTTGGAAACAGACAAAGTTTACTCCAGTCCACTGAACTTTCACATTCTATCCCCTACACACACACACACACACACACACACACACACACTTTTTAAAAAATTAAAGTATTATAGCATATCTTTAATGAAGACTTTTTAAATGGTATGCCCTGCCATTTAAAACAGCACACATGAACTTTTCAAAACAGCACACATGAACTAAGGCACCCTTCCCTTTTGAAGATGATAACTACAGGCCTCAGGAGAACATGTATTATGAGCTGCTTTTCTGGTAAAAGTGGATTATCTAAGTTAATCCTTCTTTTACTCACCCTCTCTCATAGACAAACTGTGAACCAGTAGTCAGAGTTGAGATAAAATCTGTATCCATAAAAGAAAAGGAAACTAACTGGCCCATGCAGGAAGTGAATTATTCCCTTTGACTTCTTACTAAATGTGTTTTTATCTACTGAGATAACTCTAGCCACTCATTTATTCATTCATTCAACAAATATTTATTGAACATGTACACTGTGCTATGTATTATAAAAGGTTCTACGTATAAAATGAACAAACAGTCATTTCCCCTTTCCCCTCAGAGCTTACAGTCTACTGAGGAACCAATATTAAATACACACTCACACACACATGAATGTAATTATAAACTGGAACTACCTAGAAGTAATTCTTATTGGAAATCTGGAAAAAAAAAAAGACTTATCTCAAGTAGAAGCTATTCTTCTGCTAAGAGTCTAAGTTCATTTTGGAGATGGCCAACAGTCACCTAATTCACTTTCTTAATAACAGGGTTAAAGTTTTAAAAAAGTGAAAAGTAGGCAGCAATAAATCCAGAAATATTATCACTGTGCAGTCAGGATGAACTCCTGTTGTTAGTAAAAGGGGTCTATTTTGGAGATGTTATTTACCCATCCAAATACTGTGATCCAGATGCCAACTTGTGAAAAATTAAATAATCTCTCCTAGTAAAGTATACCTTTATATAACATCCACACAATGATAAGCCCGTTTTCATCACTGGTAGTCAACTTCTGATACTGCTCATTCCATGTTACAACTTGAACAGAACCTAGAACATTATAAAACAATTTAGAAACTTAAAGGTTACAATTAATTTCAAATTCACATTTTTATATAAACACCAAGATCATGTTAAAATCAATATGGTTCCTGTACAGCTAACTAGTCTTTAATATTCCTCAAAACCTATTCATAAGATGCAGTTATTGATATCACTAATTTTCTACAACAATGCATAATACTATTTTTCATATCTATCCCTATTTCATCCCAGTAAAGACACCAATCATGGCTAGCTACCAGAACTACCATATACCTGATGACAGAAACAAATACAAGCATGGTTTACTCAATTGGCCTGACTCCCAAAAATAATGATGTTCAAAGGACACCATAACAAGTACTTGTTTAGGGGACTTTTATCATTTTTGGTAGATATGTCCTATAATCTCTCTTCTGCCCACCTCTCACTCGTTTTCCATTCTATTAGTAAAACACTCTTGAGCATATCTTAAACCTCTAGGGTACGTGAATAATTGATGACTTTTAATTTTTTAATCCCTAAATACTTTAGTGTACATTTCCTAAAAATAAAGACATTCTCTTCCATAATCATATTACAAATTAGGAAGTTTAACACTGATATACTATTATCTAACTCACAGTCCATATACAAATTTTACCAATTGTCCAAATAATGTCCTTTATAGACACTTGTTCTTCTCATTCCAAGATCCAATCTAGGATTATACAGTGCATTTAGTTGTTATACATCTTCAGTCTTTAGTCTTTTTTTTTCTTGAGACAGGATCTTGCACTGTCACCAAGGCTGGAATGCAGTGGCACAATCATGGCTCACTGCAGCCTCCAACTCATGAGCTCAAGCGATCCTCCCACCTCAGCCTCCTGAGTACTGGGGACTACGGGCACACAGCACCACGCCTGGTTAATTTTTTTTATTTTTTGTAGAAACAGGGTCTCATTATGTTGCCCAGGGTGGTTCCAAAATCCCAGCCTCATGCAGTCTTCCCACCTTGGCCTCCCAAAGTGCTTGAACTATAGGTGTTAGCCACTACACCCAGTCTCTTCAGTCTCCTTTAATCTGGAATCATAGGACAGATTCTAAAAAGGATTATATATACAACATCCATAGACAGGAGTATTTTCAATATATTAAAAACAGCTATTTTCTTCTAGATTTATTTAAGATGTTGTTTAATCATGTAAAAGTTGAATGACTCTAAGTTGTATTACTTATGTCTCAACAGAAATGATTACAAACAGCTCCCAACTTACAATGGTACTACTTAAATGACTTTTCGGTGATGGGAATGCAATGCACATTCAGTAGAAACCGTACTTCGAGTGCCCATACAACCATTCTGTTTTTCACTTTTAGTACAGAAATCAATAAGTTACATAAGATATTCAACATTTTAGTATAAAATAGGCTTTATGTCAGATGATTGTGCCCAACTGTAGGCTAGTGTTTTCTGGGCATATTTAAGGTAAGCTAGGCAGAGCTACGATGTTCAGTAGGTTAGGTGTATTAAATGCATTTTCAACTTACAATGGGTTTATTGGAACATATCCCCATCGTAACTCAAAGAGCATCTGTACTGTAAATATTACCATTATTTAAAATGTTGACATTTCTGCATTAAGTAGAAACTTTCTAAATGCCTAAATACCACTCAAACATGACTTAAAAGAAATTGAATGACTCACCACTATGACCTTCAAGAGTCTGATTCATAGAAAGGTTACTGGGGGCTGCAAGGCCCCTCAATTTTGCATCATCTAAAACAAAACAAAACAAACTACTATGATAAATATGTAAAAGTGACATATTATAAGATTTTGACTCTTTTTGTATTCCTGGGCAGTATTAATCATTTTTCTAAGTATGCCCCATTCTGATATATTTTTCTCATGGTATAAACATGAACAATAACACATACCCCTTGCAAAGATATTCTGGTAAAATAAAGCAAAATATATAAATGAAGATTGTTTACTCATACATTACATATATTAATAATCATCACTGCTTTTTATTCCTTTCCAAAAGACCACAAATAGAAATATTTATGGCCTACAGATTGAAAACTCTACAGCTTACAAGGGATCAAAAGAGCATAGACTTTGAAAATGGGTTTTTACTAGATTACACAGAATCTTATATTCACTCATTTATTCATTCATTTAACAAATATTTATGAAATGTGTACACTGTGCTATGCATTACAAAAGGTTCTACATATAAAATGGTGAACAAAACAGTCATTTCCCCTTTCTTCTCAGAGCTTTCAGTCTAAGGGACCAATATTAAATATATACTCACATACACATAAATGTAACTATAAACTGGGAATGTGAAAGCATAATAAGAAAGAGTAGCAGAAGTGACTTAATTTAGATTGATGGGGAACCAGGGAAGGCTATCAGAAGAACTGATATTTAAGCTGAGACTGAGAGGTAAACTGGAGATAGCCAGGAAAGGTAGAGAAAGAAGGGGAGTATTCCAGGCTAGGACACAGCAACATAAAGGCTCTGAGGTAGACAACTAGAGCCCTTGACAAACTCTAAGAAGGCCTATGTGGATGAACAGGGGAGAAAATTGCATCAAACAAGGCTGGAGTGATAGGCACAAGAAAAACTATGAAGTATTTGTAGAAAATGATAAGAATTTTAGATTTTATCCAAAGTGCAATGAAAACCTCTAAAGACGTCTTAAAAATTTACTAACCATCCTACAGAGAATATTAAAATGTCATCTCAATAAATTAATCTTGGCTTAGAAATCTGTTACACATAAAACATAGCATTTAAAATTTTCATTTAAAATACAAATGTTATGAAGATCTTAAGAATTTGTGAGAATGGGAATTATACCAATGCTAAAGAAAATTCTACTTTCAGATAACAAGTATCTTAAAATATTATGAAAAATATCCTTTATTCTGAAAACATTGTCAGGAAAAGATACCTAATTTCCTCTAAATCACTAGTTCTAATTACCCAGTTGTTTTGGTAACACAAGAGTACACATGTACAGTTTAACAATGCAATCATCTGTCAATTAAGATAGAATAAATGTTGCTGACACACACATTAGGCTGAACATAATTTTTTTTAACACAGGGTTCTTTCATTCATTTAATCTTTTAAAAATTGTACAACATACTTAAACTTTATTATAATATTCTAAAATATTTGGTGGAAACATTTTTCTTAACTTCTAGCACTGAAAAATCCATTCTAATGCATATATATATATATATATATATATATATATATATATATACATATATACACACACCCACATATTCTGATGTCACTATAACCTAAGTGAAATGGGTCATATGAGATTTAGATTGACCACCCATGTTTGCCCTCTGTTAGACCATAAGGTAGCATACTCTTGACAAAACACATGCTGACAGTTAAGAACAGGCTTTGAAATTCAGCTTGATATATTGAACAAATATCATCCACATCTGAAAACGTCTCTTGCTGGAAGCAACTCCGTAACTTGATCATGTAAAAAATATTCATAAAACCCACCTGAAAGTTCTCAGATGTCCATAAAAAGGCCAAAAGTTTTAAATGATGTAGAGTAAAGCCAGCGATAATATCCCAAGATTCCATTCAGTTACATTACTAGACTCCAGATAGCCAATAAGGTAATGAAACCAAACTGGTATGTGAACAAAAATCTGGTAATACTGACATAAATCTTCTAAAAGCACATAACAGTAATCCTTGGATTTAAAAGGCATAATCGAAGAAGTCACCAATAAAATAAAGCATTTTAAACTCATGTAAAGGAATTTCAGAATGAAATCAGTTATTCCAACAATCCGAAGTACATCAAAAAGTCCAAAGAAGGCTTTTAAAAAATTAAGGTGTAATAAAGCAACTGAAAACAAAAGGTATGACATAGAAGAACAGAAGATCATGCTAATAACACCAATAACCAAGCACACTAAATCTTTGAGAATCTTTCTCTTAGAAAAGCGTGACTGCCAATGCTTTTGTTTGCATTCATAAAAGTTGTCAGCAGCCCAATTTCAACAGAAATTCCTGTTACATGCTGCAAAATAAGCTTGAAACCTAGAATCAAAATATACAGAAGACTGTTTTGCAACACATAAGGATAATACAATTCTGAGAAAGAGATGGTACCATATTCGCCAGATTCTCTGGCAGGATCATCTGGTTGCCTTGCTTCTCTGTGTGAATGACTGACTGCAAAGGACTCTGTATGCATCCCTGGGTCTAGCTAAGGACACCTTACCTGAGATTTCTGGTCAATTTTGTTGTCCTGGGCATATTGGAAGGTTGAGGCAATGTCACTGCCTGCAGGTACCGGAGGACTGCGCAGTCAGCTGCAGTTGGCTTCCATGGCCCTATATACTTTTTCTCTGATGCAAATGTTGGCTTCCAGGGCTCTCTATTTCCTCTCATGAGGATGAGGGTGGAGGCCTTGGCAGTCGTAGCAGAAAAAGCAAGAAATGCCACCTCAATCCTAGTCAGGGCCATCATCCTCAAACCCTACCACAAGCAGCTCCAACCCAGGGCCATCATCCTCAAACCCTACCACCAGCAACTCCAACCCAGGACCGTCATCCTCAAACCCTACCACAAGCAGCTCCAACCCAGGACCATCATCCTCAAACCCTACCACAAGCAGCTCCAACCCAGGACCATCATCCTCAAACCCTACCACAAGCAGCTCCAACCCAGGACCATCATCCTCAAACCCTACCACAAGCAGCTCCAACCCAGGCTGTCAGCCCTTTAAATACCTTTTGGCAAGGAAATGACATCATCTGGTCCCTTTAAAAAAAAAAAAAAAAAAAAGGGCCGGGCGCAGTGGCTCACGCCTGTAACCCCAGCATTTTGGGAGGCCCAGGCGGGCGAGTCACTTGAAGTCAGGAGATCACGACCATCCTGGCTAACACGGTGAAACCCCGTCTCTACTAAAAAAAAAAAAAAAAATACAAAAAATTAGCTGGGCGTGGTGGCACGCACCTGTAATCCCAGCTACTCAGGAGGCTGAGGCAGGAGAATTGCTTGAACCCGGGAAGTGGAAGTTGCAGTGAGCCAAGACTGCACCACTGCACTCCAGCCTGGGCAACAGAGTGAGACCCCATCTCGGGAAAAAAAAAAAAAAAAAAAAAAAAAAGCCTGACACTGGCTAGAGTGTCAAGAACGACTAAGAGGAAGCCAGAGACAATGGAAGGAGGGAAACTGATTCTCACAATAGACCAGGTGAGGGATGATGGTAGCTGGAGCTATAGAGGGAGCAGGGGAGACAAAGGAAAGGATGGGTTCAACATACACTTTGGAGACAAAAGCAACAGGATTGCTGATGCAGATGTTGTTAACGGAGGAAAAGAGAAGATTTCCAGCTTGAGCAAATGAGTGAAATGGAGATATTTGCTGAAATGGAGAGAATTGAAAGAGATTTGGAAGAATATCAAGAGTTCGGTTTTGAACACAGTAAATAGGAGATACCTGTGAAAGACTCCAGTGGAGACACCCACGTCTGAAAAATCAGGACTGGGCTGGAGATATAAATGTGGGGCTCTTCACCTCATACCACAGATGGCATTTAAGGGCATGAGAATGAAAGAATAAATAGAGCAAGTGAATAGAGAGCCCAGAAGCAAGTTCTCAGGAATTCTAATAGAAGAGGGAAATCTAGCAAAGAGACTGAGGACTGACCAGAGAAGGAGAGAAAAGTAGTACGTCTAAATATAACAATAACTTAAACATTCTGAATTCTCTTGTCTGGAAAAATAATGTTTCAAGTCAAATCCTGATGAGTCAATAAAAGCTGTCCATTAGATTTAGAACATGAAAGTCACTGGTGAGGGAGAGAAAAGGAGAGAGGACTGATATTGAAAGGAGAGAGAGAGGATAAATTGGCAGAAAGGTACCTGAGAAGGTGAAGGGAGATGGGCTCCAGCAAAACACTGGAAGCTGGCCTGTGAGAGAAGTAAACCTGATGTAAAAAGATGGATTGCTGGTTCTAATTCCTTTCCTTCTAGAGCAGGGAACTGAAAACTGGAAATGCAATGTGGTGCAAACTTTCTGGAGGGTAATTTGTGTACACATATTAGGAACTTGTATAAATGTACACACTCTTCGATCCAGTGAATGCCATTTCTAGAGATTTATCGTAGAAAGTATTAACTATTTATGCAAAGATTTGGATACAAAGATACAGTTGCTTTAATAGTAAAAATGTGGAGACACCTAAATGTCCAATACTAAAATTGGTTAAGCAAATTATGATATATTAATACCAATATAATGAAATACTAAATAGACATTAACAATGGTGCCATAGAAGATGATTTATGGACGTAGAGGATTGCTGTATTATGTTGCTGTACCCAAACTACAACACATTATACTTCACATGTTGCATCTTTAGCACAACACAGTGCTTCATAGAAAGCAGGCATGCAATATCTATGATTGTTACTGGACGGATCTGCTGAATCAACACTAGTTGTATTAAATATAATATACTGATCTTGTTAGACTCTCACAGCCATATTCCTCATATTTATTTCTTTCAGCACAATTCATAATCATTCAGTTCCAAAACAAATACTTTACTCCATTTTCCAAACCTCCCAAGAATTGATTTCCCATCTTGTTCACTAATTTCAAAGAATACTCCAGTCACAGCTCATCAAAAGGGCAGAGCAGAAAAAGAAGTTTGTTTTTAAAAAAGCCTTCAATGTTAAACAAAATGAATGCACTTCTTAATGTAATTTAAAACTTGCAGGCCAGGCACGGTGGCTCACACCTGTAATCCCAGCACTTAGGGAGGCCGAGGTGGGTAGATCACGAGGTCAGGAGATCAAGACCATCCTGGCTAACACGGTGAAACCCTGTCTCTACTAAAAATACAAAAAAATTAGCCAGGCATGGTGGTGGGCACCTGTAGTCCCAGCTACTTGGGAGGCTGAGGTAGGAGAATGGCATGAACCCAGGAGGCGGAGCTTGCAATGAGCCGAGATCCAGCCACTGCACTCCAGCCTGGGCAACAGAGCGAAACTCTGTCTCAAAAAAAAAAAAAAAAAAAAAAACTTGCCAAATATTGTAAGCAAAAGTATGTATATACAGACACACATATATATATATACACACGTATATATATATCTATATACACATTTAAGAAACAGAGAAAAACTTTCTTTTAACACAGTTTTAAAAAACTAAAGCACTGACAGATTGAACTATAAAACAGCATAAGCCAAACTTTAATTGGTACTCTTCTTTACTTAGGCTGTCCACTAGCCCTTTGTGTAGTGGTTAAAAACAAGGACTTGAATGTGAGACAAACTTAGTTTCACATCCTTGTTCCGCCACTTACTGGCTGCGTGACCTAGGGCAGTTAACAGCTCAGAGCCTCAATTTTCTCACCTAGAATACCTACTGCCCAAGATTATTGTGAAGTCAAATAAGATTGTGAAGGTTAAACATCCACTACATGGAAAATCGTCAATAAGTATTTATTATTCATACCGCATTCAAAGTTGTAAGGTAATGCTATTCAAAGTGCGGTCTGAGGACCAGCAACTCAGCTTCACTAGAAATGGAAATTCTCAGGCCCCATCCCGGGTCTATTGTGTGGGGGTAGAGCATGAAATCCATCTTAACAACCTCTTCCAGTGATTCTTATACCTAATACAGTTTGAGAAGCTATGTTGTAAGGAATCCAAAAATGTAATGCAGTTTAACCCCCTACATTTTCATTTTATGGAAGACTAAACTAAAGTAGTAAGATCCTCAGCTAACTTGTTGAAAGTCATTCAGTAGTCTTGTGGAAGAGCTGAGATTTAACTCCAATTACCTTATCTAGGTCTTCAATCTAGGGGGGCTAAGAAGTGGGAAGCTGTTTGCTGTGATTCCAGAGAACTAGATAAAGAAAGAAATCAAGCAGCAAAGACAAGAGACCTACTAATAGAAATGTAAAACGTATCCCATTTTCTGTTCTTGGACACTAGGTGAATAACCATTAATGCATCTGATAAGCAGAAAGGATGACACAGACCTGTAAACAATCTGCCAGATTTTCTTAGTGAAATGTTGACTCACAGGATTTCTTTTAGACTCCTAATAATATAGTACAATAATTAGACATAGCATAACACAGTGACTTATTTTCATTCTTCATTATTTTTCATTTTCCATTAATAACTCAGCAAAAACCATCCGATGTTTACATTCAACATTCTCTGAACTTTATTGCAAATATACTCCAGAAAAACACCATAAAATGTTTTGGTAGTTTTCCCTTTAAAATAATCAGAACTGCATATTGACAGATAACATGAGTAGACCGCACTGAACAAATAACATTAGCCAATTTACTACCAAACATGTGGGCTTGCATTCATTTACCTGTCTGCGTCTCTAATTTCAAAACTTTCAGTAATCCATCTTCACCACCGCATGCTATGAACCCTTGTTCCTTGTTCCAGGATACACACTGCAGCTTCACGTTATTGGGAATGGAAATCTGAAAAAGCAACCACAGCCGCACTAGCAACTTTTCACGAAGGAGCTGGGAAGTAAGTCTGCAGGAGATGAAAGCTGAAGAAAATCTTCCAAGAAGAAAAACGAACGGCCTTGCAGAAAAAAAATGAGCTGTTGTGAAAATGGGCATGGTCCCCTGAACTGACCCGGGCTCTAGCATTTGGGAAAGAGGGAAAGAAGTGCACAAAAGAGAAGGATAGTGACTGCGGAGGAAGCCAACGCCAGAGTCTCACCGGATGGATTTTTTAAAGGGAGGACGGGGAGAGGGTATAAATCCATACCACCAGTCCCTCTTCCTTTTTACCTACAACTTAGGCTATCCTATTGTTATTTCTTTTCTCTTGCCCAATGGCTCGTGGTGATCCAAAGAGTTTAAATCACGTGGATCAGCAACAAGTGGAGGAGGAAACATAGGGTAGCACGTGGCGACTTATCCTCAAGCCACCCAAAAGGACCTAGCCAGGGGCAGGAATGGGAGAGTGCTGCGAGAGGGCAGCAAGCTCGGCCAAAGACTGAGGCTCTGGGAACCGCAGGAAGAGGTCGGAGGCTGGACCCGGCGGGAAGGATGGCTGCGGAATGGCGAAGCCACGACCAGGACCGGGTGAAGGAGCCTGGCTTCTCGGGAAGGCAGCGGGAATCGCCGCAGGCTGCGGGAATGGCGGAGAAACGAGGACGCCCCCCAGGAAACTCACTTTCTTGCTCAGGTAGAAGAACATCGTGGGATCCCCGAGAGGGTCACGGCGGCCGCTAAGGCCCTCGACAAGTAACGGTTCTACGTCTCCAATCGGGAGTACCAGCAGCTCCGGAAAGCTCCCGTCGCCCTGGCAACCGCTGTTGCCCGGTCGCATCCGGGGCGCCGCGGGACACTTCCGGTGACGCCCTCGCACCGGGCACCGGCGTAGTGCGCCTGCGCGGACGTCGATGGGTTTGTGGGCGCAGGGCGCGAGGCGCGAGGCGGTAGCTGGGCTAGTCCTGTTCCCTGGCGTCTGGGCCTTTCTGCTCTCCGCAAGGAGCTGGGTCGCGACCTGTCACTGCCAGCCGTGCGCTCGCCCTCTGCGCCCCGTCTCGTGGTCACTGCCGCCCTCCCTCCCGCCACACCTGTGATGATCGCTATGGAGCCGCGCCTCAGGTGGCATTACTATAAACCTAAGAGGAGAGGCGCCCGTTCGAATAAGGGCAAATTATTTAGTATTTTGTAAGTTCCAAAGTTCCAACATTCTTGAAAGGGAAAAGCCATTTACTGTATTTGATAGGCTGGCGCCACTGGCCAGATGAAAGTGCAAATGTGCGTACTGAGATCTTACAACCCTTCTCTGTGTCTTTGGGGATTGGAGAACCTCTAGAGCAATTTAGGAATAGAAGATTTTGTTTATTCCGCTTGTTTTGATATTTTTTAACAGTTTAATTATTACCGCAACCCCGAGGGTCCTTTTAAAGGAATTTCTGTAAACGTTGGGTAATTACAGCGTACAATTGCTATTGGGGCATGGCCTCCCATTTTACAAATATTTGAGCGTTTGGTGTTTTCTCGTCTAGAGTCGACTGTTACATATTCTCTTCTTTTTCTTACCTTCTTTCTTCATTCTCCTTTGTCCTTTTGGAATGCTTGAGAGTTACAAAGCCTCAAAGTCTAAGGCATAGGGCAGAAATCCAAGTAGAACCACTCATGAAATTATTTGGTCTCACCTATGTTTTTATTTCTGGTTTTCCCTTTTACCATAATCTAGCATGTAATTTATGCATCAGTAGTTAATTTCCCCACTTGGAGTCTTTTCCCATCTCAGACAAAAATAAAATAAAAATCCTCCAATCCTTTGACCTGGGTGATTTGTCTCACCCAGCACAATCTATTATAGAATTGACAATAGTCCCTAGTGCCTTTCCTAGCAAATCTAAACTCCATCCAAAATCAGATCTTCCCTCAATCCTAAATGTTTTTACTAGGGAGCCCCCACCTCAAGTAAGCCAATATGCTTTCTGCAGGGCAACATTCCATCCGGCTCTGCTTCCCAAGCCACTTTATATATGGTCCTACCCTCTTAACAGGCCAGTTGTGCCTAGCCAAACCAGCACAAATCAGTCTCCATGAGGAATTCTTTCCAAACTTAACCCAATCCCATTCAGATAATGTTTGCTTTCCATTGTTTGTGTGTCTGTTTAAGATACATTGGCCCCTGTCCATAGGCTCCCTATACTGGACGCATGAGACAAATTAGTATTATCTAACCCAGGAGTTTCCAATAAACTGGTCAAGACATAATTAGTTGAAGCTAGTTACTGATGGTGACACCTGAAAACTCACCTCTCTTTATCTTTCCCTTCTTGCACATGAACTCTCATTTATTCCTTCTATACCACCATTTCTCTGTGGTATATTAATATGTATTACTGATTTTGGGCTCAAAAAAGTCTGGAAAATACTACTGTAGCTCTATGTCATACCCTTTCAAAATTTTTGAAAAGTAAGAGATGCTTTATATATTTCCTTGGTATATTTAGTTTTTGTTCCTTCCTTAAAGTTTATATTTTATATTTACATCTGTAGGATATATTTGCTTCTCAGGAGCTTATATTAATGTAAAGCTCATCATTATTTTATCCAAATTTAGATAATTTTATATTGAAGCCTTTCTTTTGAACCTGAACTTACACTTTTAGCCTCAGGAGTGTGAGATTAAACTATAGGAGGAGAATCAAACTTCTGTCTTTTGATAAGAAACTGTTGAATATCAAAATAACTGTTAATTCAGTATAATTTAAAGAAATATCTTTAATAGACAAAATTGATGAGTCATCAAAAATAGACATGATAATATGTAAAGGTAATAACTTTTATTATATTAAAGACAATGCAAACGAAAAACAGAATTGAGCAGTGCAAAATTTAAAGGACTGTTTTGTTCTCAAAGTTGCAAGTTTCAAAGCCAAAAGAATTATATGTATCAAATATATAAGTAAAAAAAAGTTAGACTTTCAAGCCTGTAATCCCAGCACTTTGGGAGGCTGAGGCAGGTGGATCACTAACATTAAAAAGACAACATTAGATTTTGTCGATTTATAGCAATTTTATAAATATATAACTTTGTCACTTGGATCCTGAAGCAAAATAATAAAGTGAATTTGGGATTTTTGTACTTGGTAAAAAGTTTAACACCCTAAATTCACAACTAGTGCTCTTTAGTAGTACATTTCTTTCAAAGACCAGAATGAATTAAAAATGGCAATGTAATGTTCACTTGATCTGTGTTAACTATTTTTAGATATGTGTATTACAATCTATTGATCACATCTTCAATAATACTCCAACAAAATAAGCAAAAAACAAAAAGTGTTAAACAGTTCAAAATTACATTCATCTCAGTTATATGAAGTTGTATGTGTAAATACCTTGTACAATTTGCACTCTCAGTAATAAGATTGATTTATATTATAAATACTATCAAAAGAAACTAGACCTAAAGTTTCCATTGTGAATATGGTTATCTAATATAAACATTTAAAAATTAAATGGCTCAATTAGTAGATAAAGAAACACTAAACTTTTCATTCTATTTCCTACCAATCATTTCACAGTCATAACTTAGAGACACTAAAGTTTGCTCTTAATAAGTATCTGCATATGTATTTCCTTGGAAGAATCATGCTGATTCTGCAGAAGATCTTCATACAATTTATCCAGTAATATTCAAGCATTAATACAGATAATGGCAAATTATTAGCAGGAACATTGGCAATAACAGGTGTGCAAAAGAATGCATGAGTATTAAGTACACCAAGCTGTCCACATTTTCAGGTGAGAAATTGGAGCAATTTAACGATGTATTTGTCCATATTCATTTATTTTCAACTTCTCCAAAATGTCATCAAGTGGCAAGTTGTTAAGGCCAACACCATTTATTTTTACACATTAGAAAATATAAACACACTTTCAAACACTTCACAAGATAAAATAATTATGTCCTATGAGAAGTGAAAAAAAAGAGCAAAACTGTTTTCTCACCAAAAGTTGAATTCAGTCTAAAAGTCAAAAATCCTGTTCTTCAGAGAGCACAATAAAAGTAGACCCCTGCAGTGGTCTTCAGATGTTTTTGTTCATATAAAATGTAATTGGAGTAGCATCTTAGTGTGAGGGATGGGGGAAGCAGTGTTTATGAAGTATTGATTAAAGGGATAGTTGGATTGTCCCTTTGTTTGGCTATCTCAAGATTCTGCTGTTCTAACAAATGCACCTTAGTAGATCTAGGGTAAATGAGAAGTATGCCTTTCTTGTGTGAAGTTAGGAGAATGGTGATATGGAAATGAGAGACGGGAAAAGAAAATGCCAGCTGATTCCAAGTAGTGTCTTAAGCAAGTGAAGGATTTGGAAATTGATTCTTTCCAATTATCTGTACCTCCCTTAAAAGTCTCTACATACGCCTAGATTGTACCTACCACAATCTAAATTCCACTCCTCTGGGGTACATAGGAACAGAGTTGTTAACTTGAACTGTTCTGAGAAACTTTTCCCTAGTTACTCCTTTGAAGAAAGAACTGATTTTGAAAGTTTCTGAGATTGTATCATGTTACATTTTAAAATCTGCTTTTTGACCACTTGGCTAGTCAAAGGGTACAACTGTGTGTAATCTGAGATATCACACCCCATTAATCAGCTGACTTGCTTTGTACATGTTCAGATTCTGAACTAAGAAAGCCATATTAAGGAGTCATTAGCATAAATGTTCCATCTGTTATGTAAGAGCATCATTAGGAGCATATACAGTTATGGAAAAGCACTAGGGGACAAAATAGGCAGCTTTTACATGTAAATATTGAATGGGTGAAACAGTCTATTAAACCATTAGAAAAGAACTCTAAATTTTTTAAAGTTGTATATTACCACTGCTCATATTAAAACCTAACAAATAAGTCACTTGCCTGTGGAATGTCTTAAAGTGTTTGGCTCGATCGTAGTACCTTGGTTGGCTCCAGGCAGAAGGAGAAAACCTTCCAGAAAGGATATGTTTAGTGTTCAGTCTTTGAAGATACGAGCTGACCTTGTCCTGGAATGCCAGTGTAGCTTCACATCCACAAGCATCTTCAGTGGAAACAAGTCTTCGTGCTTCCTCAGTGGCTGAAGACAATGACAGTACACAAATATACTATCTAGGAATAGCTATATAGGAATCATAACAAATCAGGAAATCCACAGTTGAATATTTCCACCGTTAAGACTTACCTAAGTGCATTTTCCAAGAGGTAAAGGGATAGATGAACAAACAAAAAGACGAGAAAATACTTATCACAGAAAAATTCATCTTAGGATACATTGGGGAAAATGTTTATAATTGTCAAAGCTGAGTGATGCTTAAGTGAGGGTTCCTTATTTTATTCTCTGTACTTTTGTGATTGCCAGAAATTATTCATGATATAAAGTAAATTTAGAAAAACATGGTTGGTATAGGGGGAGGCCAGGGATATAGAAATAAGACAATGTTTATGTAATACTGTGTAATTAAGAAAGGAAAATGGGCCTGGTGCAGTGCCTTATTCCTATAATGCCAGCACTTTTGGAGGCTGAGGCAGAAGGATCACTTGAGGCCAGGAGTTCAAGACCACCCTGGGCAACGAAGCAAGGCCCTGTCTCTACAAAAAAGTAAAATAGTTAGCCAGGCATAGTGGCACACACCTGTAATCCTAGCTACTCGAGAGGCTGAGGCAGGAGGATCACTTGAGCCCAGGAGTTCAAGGCTGCAGTGAGCCATGATCACACCACTGCACTCCAGCCTGGGTAACAGAGTAAGACCCTGTCTCTTAAAAATAAATAAATAAAAATAAAACTAGGACAATAGTCCTCTATTTGTATGGCTAAAATATACCAAAGATGAAAACTAGGGCCAGGCGCAGTGGCTCACACCTGTAATCCCAGGACTTTGGGAGGCCAAGGTGGGTGGAACGCTTGAAGTCAGGAGTTCAAGACCAGCCTGGACAACATAGTGAAACCCCGTCTCTAATAAAGACACAAAAATTAGCTGGGCGTGGTGGCCCATGCCTGTAATCCCAGCTACTCGGGAGACTGAGGCAGGAGGATTGCTTGAACCCGGGAGGCAGAGGTTGCAGTGAGCTGAGATCGCACCACTGCACTCCAGCCTGGGTGACAGATTGAAATGTCGTCTCAAAAAACAAAACAAAAAAAAAGGATAAAAACCAGGTTAAGTCCTGATTTCCTCTAGAGGACTGTTATTCTATTTAATGGTTTGAAGTAAGAGTCCTAGTTCTTACCAATAAATACTTTGGAACTGAAAATTCACGTTTGTATTGACATTTAACCAAATATGAGAGGTGATAAAAGTAACTCCTATTTCTTTATGGAATTCAGTCAGGCAGCTATTCCTATTCAGTATCAGGGCTCCTCCTAAAGTTGTGAATAGAAATAAGAGTAACTTCCCAGGTCTGAAGACTGGTGTATCATCTTCCAATGGAGTAATTCTATTGCCTGAGGACAGGAAATGGTCCTTTGCTGCAACATTTTTACTCTTAACATTTTACAAAGATCCAATATAGGGATGGGAGATCATAAATTCATTAAATATAATCTATCATCTATCCACCTGTCTGAATCCTATTGAACCTTTTAGGGACAGCCAGTCCAAATCCCATCTTAGTTAATCAGTCAATAAACCAGGAAGTATCTATTGAAGATCAACTACATGTCCATTATCCCTGTACCCATAAGATGGGTATATATAATACTTGTTCAGTGTCTGTCGTGCCTGATAGTCTCTAAGCTCTAGCAGGGCATGGGTTCAGTGGGATAGTCTTAATTACAACACTTCATAGAAAATTGTAAACCTGGATTGTAGAAAAATTGAAAGTTGAGAAATGGATCTCAAACTCCATTTCTCAAACCTGGGTTGTAGCAAAATTGAAAGTTGAGAAATGGAGAAATGGTGCTTATAATAGCACCAGAAGGAATAAAATAGTTAGGAATAAATATTTTTAAAAGTACAAGACTTGTACACTGAAAACTACAAAACAATTTTGAAAGAAATTAAAGAAGACCTAAAATAAAATAAAATTAAATTAAATTAAAGACATACCATGTTAATGCAATGAAAGACTGTTAAAATGGCAGTACTCTCCAGGAAAAGATGCCTCACCTCATTAGTAACCAGGAAATGAAAAAAACATCCACTGGATTGGCAAAAATTTAATTCAACAAAACCAAATGTTGGCAAGCAAATTCTGACAAGCAAAAGCATTGAGGGGAGGGTGGGAATGAGTGAGTGCAGGGCATGCTCCTGGACCATCAAAGAGCCCACTGTGGCTGGACCAGGATGCAGGAAGAAGCAGTGAATCTGGGGGCAAATGTAGTAGAAAAGTTTTAAAAGCCAGGATGAGAGAAGTAGTTACCATGGGCTGAGGGGAGCGGGTGATGGGCAGTTATTGTTTCATCGGCACAGACTTTTATTTTGGGATGATAAAAAATTTCTGGAGATGGATACTGGTGGTGGTTGCCCAACAATGTAAATGTACTTAATGCCACTGAACTATACACTTGAAAATAATTGAAATGGTAAATTGTATGTGTATTTTACCACAATAAAAAAAATTCAGACTTAGGCAGAAAGTTTAGTTATTAAGAAAAATGTGAAAAACAGAGAAGACAGAAACAGATCATGGAGGGTAGGCTGCCTGGTATAGGGGTATCATTGTTTTATTCTGTAGACCAGTGGGAGCCACTGGAGAATTCTGACAGGGAGAAAGAATCACAACTGTGTCTTAGACAGAAAGAAAAAAGCTTGCTCCTGAAAAATTTTCCTACCAAAGGAAATAGCCTTAAAGGGCTGATCCTCACCTGAACATGTTTTCTTGTCCTCATTTAAGGTGTAGCCAGGATAGCAATCACAGTGGTAGGATGCGGCCCCATCACTCACACAAATGTGCTGGCAACCATGAGAGCCTAGGGCACACTTGTCACGGACTGACCGCACGTGGTGCAGGAAAGAAAATATTCACACATTAAATAGAAAAGTAAACACAAATGTTTGAGAGGAGAAGCTTCCATTTGGTCCCCACAAGTGCTGAGAATGTAGTAGTCAGTAGTCAGCAACAGGCCCCATGCTGCAGGAGCAAGCCTGTTTTCTCTTCCCATACCTCTCATCCCTTTGGCCTCACATCACACACACTCCTTTCCTTTATATCTCTCACAGATATCTAAGGGTACCTTTCCTTTTTTTCTACCCACAGCACTGGGCAGCACTGAGTCTTGACTATATTCCAGAACTTACCTCCAGCCTTTCCCGATGACTATCAATGCTTCTAGCATCCCCAGCTACTCATGGATCATCATCATCATCACCAAAAGTAATGTTTTAGGGACCTAATCATACATGGAGCTAAGTTTGATGCTGCACAAAAAGCACTATATTGACCAAGTGCCTGCCTTCATAGCTTACAAAGTGTAACAGAAAAGACTGACCAGGAGACACATGCACACACACACACACACACACAAGCACAGATGGGGAAATGATACAGGGTTAGTAATGATGATGTGTATGATTAGAGAGTGAAGTACTTACTATCTATCACAAATAACATTTCAGGGACAAATGCAGTTTGCCCAAATTTGAGTGGAGAGGAGAGCAAAGTGCCATACTCATCCCATGTTCAGACTGGCCTAGGACAAATAAAACAGTAATTCTCCTTTGAAATCCAGAAAGCCTTCCTGGAAGACATAGGTTCCTCCTCTGCCATTGCAGGAACCAAAATAGTTTATTTCCCTCTAATTTTCCTCTTAAATGTCATTTCATGGGCAGAACCTTTTGTGGCTCACTAATGCCTATAGAATAGCTTCTTGTGAAATGTGAGACGCTATATAATCTATACATAAAGTGCCTTTCCAACCTTAATATGGCTATTCCCTTTCAGTGCTACAATTTAGATTTTTTTTTCAGCAAAATGCCTTATAGCAGGGTGTTTCATTTTTTTCCCCCTCATTCCAGGTTAGTACCCACTCTACAGGTGGCAAATGGACATGCTTCCAGCCCCTGGCCCTTATTTGGGGCTCCACATTTAATTTACAAGCCTTCCTACCACTAGCAACGGAAAAGCAGACCATTAGAAGGGATCTGATCCATGGTATGTTCCCCAGCTTTATAGCAGTATTCACTATTACTTTAAAATATATAAATAGGCCAGGCACAGTGGCTCACACCTGTAATCCCAGCACTTTGGGAAGCCAAGGCAGGTGTATTGCTTGAGCTTAGGAGTTCAAGACAAGCTTGGACAAAATGTCAAAACCCCATCTCTACAAAAAAATACAAAAATTAGCCAGGTGTGGTGGCATGTGCCTGTAGTCCTAGCTACTCAGGAGGCTGAGATGGGAGAATCACTTGAGCCCGGGAGGTAGAGGCTGTATGAGCCAAGATCACACCACCGCACTCCAGCCTGGGTGACAGAATGAGACCCTGTCTCAAAAAAGAGAAGAAAAAAAAATATATATATATATAACTAACTTTCCCACTAGTATTCTTTCTCTTCTGTCCCTCTTCACTGTCCTGTGCTTTGTACATTAAGACAGTAAGGCTTAGTGGTTAAGAGCCTATGTAACCACTAGAGGAAGTACCTGGGTTCAAACCCTGGGTCTGCTACTTGCTAGCAGAGTAACCATGGGCAAGTTACTGAATCAGTTTCCTCCTAACGTTGCTGTGAGTATTAAGGTACATTACTGTATCTAAAATGCCTAGAATCCTGCATGGCCTACAGTAGGTATTGAAGAATATGGAATACTGGCATCTGGGAGTGTTGTCTGCCTTAACTGAAAATTTTCTTTGATTTATGTTTTTTTTTAAAATAGATTGCTTCACTTTATTCCATACTATCTGTTAGTTTAAATGGAAATTTGTTTTTGGTTTGTTTTCCCAGGTCTTCAATGTTCCTGGCAGCTTAAAGTACCAACTGGGACACTTGTCACTAGTTTGAGAAGTGCAGCCATAGGTGAGTTCTCTCCACCCCAACTTTCTTAGTCATCCTGCCCTGAACAAATCAGCTCAAGCCAGTCCCCCGCCAGTGCCACTTTCCACTTGTCTCCATTGAAACCTTCACCCTCCTTCAAGGCCCACCACCAGCCCTTCGCAGATGCCCACCTCCCCAGCCTCTACAGCCCTTTGTTTCCATCAGTCCCTCTCCCTGGCTCAGTCTCTGCTTTCATAAGGAGCCGGCTCTCTGTTCACCCAGATTTAACTTGCTCAGAGGCAGAAACTTAGGCTTCTTTGTATGCTCCCAATGCTTAGTTCCATACTGGGAACAAAGTAGGTGTCCGGTATTTTTTTACTGGTTTCCCTTTAAAAAAAAAAAAAAAAAAAAAAAAGAGGGGACTGGGTGACATGCCATTTCCCTTTGTCTATCTTGATGAAGTCTGTATGTCCTCAAGGGAGAGGAAAATATATGTCAAATCTAAAACACATTCAATATGCCAAAGCTAAACGGCACCTTGAGAGCTTGGAATTTCTCTCAGGAGTGTTTTTACATTTATAAATGCCACCCTGTCCTGCCAGTAAGTTTAAATCAAATTAATGAGGATTAACAGCACTGGCCTGGGCTCATTGGCCAACGTATAAGGCTGAGTTTCACCAATGATTGATCGTCTAGAAACTGCCAGGGAGTGACTGGCCTCAAACTTACTGGAAGATCTGTGTGGGTCTAATTCAGGCATTCACAAAGTCTTCTTTACTAAAATCATCCAGCTTTAAGATTAACACTACAGAAAAGTTCCAGGCCAAGTTTTAACTGGAAAAAGATCAGTTCATCCTATCACACCAAATAGTTACTGTCCAACTGACTTCCACTAAAGTTTTCTCTTTGCTTAAAAGTCTTCAGTGTACAGAGCTATAAAATTTTCCTGGATAAGGACCCTACATTTAGTTAGTTTTTCTCATATCCCCCACTCCCTACCTATTTCCCAGTAATTTTCTGAAGTAATCTATGTTTGCTCCAGTGAGCTCACCACCCTCTGAGCAATGTGTGCCTTCATCTAAAAGTGTGATAGAATGTCTGAACCTTGATCTTAAGTTACCTTTAAAAACCTCTTTGCTGGTGAGTTGCAAGTTGGTTTCATGTGAAAGACCCAAGTATGAAAGAATTTTTTGAGTGGATCTTACCTGAACATGTTTTTTTATCTGCATTCAGAGTGTAGCCCTCATAGCATTCACAATGATGGGACCCTGTTCTGTCATTCACACAAATGTGCTGACACCCATGGGTACCCAAAGCACATTTATCTTGAGCTGTGAAACAAAAAGTCAGGAGAAAAGAAATAGAAGGTGGAAAAGTATTTTATTACCCAGGATAGAAACCTTATTTGCAGCTGGAAACATATGAGGAAAACTTACTGGAAACTATTCAAAGCCATTGGCACTGTTTTTTTCTAACTAGAAGTTAACTGAGTTAAGTGAAATCCTGCACATACAATAATTATTCTCTGACCTTCCACAATTGCTTTTGGAAATCATCAGTATTGAGTTTTTATAACCTAAGTATCTCATAAATACTTTCTAGCATTCCTTTTAGGCTTATTGTACTTATCCCAACTCAGCGGGATACCAACAGTTGTGTGGCTAATTACATTAGATTCAGAAAAACATAGAATTAGAGTTTGAAGAAATTGTAGTTCAACCCTCTCCTATTTTTTAAATGAGGGAAAGGAGCGCGAGGGAGACCATTTGATTCAGAGCAGCATAAAAACTCAAGACACACATTTTCATTCAATGCACTTTCCTCTCTACTGATATATTTTTAAACTATTTTTTACTTTTAAACTTTTCATCTGAGATAATTTCAGATTTATGAAAAGGTTGCAAAAACAGTGCAAAAAATTCCTGTACTTCACCCTGTTTCCCCAAACAGTAATTTACATAACCATAGTATGATTATCAAACCAGAAATTAACATTGATATAATATGATTTACTAATCTACAGACTTTATTCAAATGTTGCCATTAATGTCCTTTTTCTGGTCCAGGATCCAATCCAGGATTCCACATTGCATTCAGTTTCACATCTCCGTCCTCTCCAACCTGGGACACTTCCTAAGTCTTTCTTTGTCTTTTATGACTTTCACGTTTCTGAGAAGTACTGGAAAACTATTTTGTGAACTGAGAGTGTCTCTCAGGTTTTTCTAATCTTTCCTCATAATCCTGAATTTTTAGCAAGAATACTACAGGTGTGCTGTTGTGTCCACAGTATTGAGCACAGCATGTCAGGTCATACATGATGTCACTATGTGTCATCACTGATGATGTTAACTTTGATCACTTAGTTAAGGTGATGTCTGCCAGTTTCTCCACTATAAAGTTACTGTCTTTCCCTTTGTAAGCAACAGGTAACTTGTGGGTTGTTATGTGATTTCAACCTACTGAATTGTCTGTAGCATTTGGGAAGGATTGTTCAGGCTGGCTACAGAGAAGGAAATGAGCAACATATTTATGTATTTGGGCCGAGATACATACATGTTACCATTTCTAACATTTTGGATAAGACTTAAAAATGGGAAAAGCTCAAGGTGGCAAGAGAGGAAAACACACCAACTTCCCAGTCAATGTGACCTGCCCTTCCATCACCGGGTAGGTAGGCAGAGAGCTAAGTAGCAATAGTAAAGACTCCTCCCTCACTTACCTGAACAAGTTTTCCTGTCTTCATTCAAGGTATAACCTTCATAGCACTCACAATGATAAGAGCCACTTCTGTCATTCACACAGATGTGCTCACATCCGTGGGTGTTAAGAGCACACCTATCAAGAGCTATCAAAAGATGATTGGGACAAATGTAAATGCATGCAGAGCATGGCAGAAATAATTGTGGGCCACGCCACTTACAGTTATACACACACACACACACACACACACACACACAGAGCTAATGAAACAAGGGAGGGGCAGCTGGGAGTTGGGAACCAACCCTCCGGTCTTGGCTCTTTCACTAAGAGACCCTGTGACATAGGTAAGTTTTTTCCCTTCTGTCCATCTCAATTTCATTATCTATAAAATTAAGTTATCTCTAAGCTTTCTTCCTCCCAAAAACTTTTTTCTAGGATTAAAAACAAAACAAAAAAATATATAATTCCCATTCCTCATTGACTCCATGTATGTATCTATGTACCAGACCAGTGAGTACCCCTCTAACTTCTTTGCTACTTCTAGATTCCATGAGCATCTATGACTAGAGAGGAAGAGGGTAGCTTGCATGTAATGAAATAAAATCCAGGAAAATTTTCAAATCCTCAAAAGGGCTAAGAATCTTGGACCCGTTTCTTTTCCTTTTTGTGTGTGTGGGTTCTGTTTTCTGAAAGAAGGTCTCCCTCTGTGGCAGTGCAGCAGAGGCATTATCATAGCTCACTGCAGCCTCGACCTCCTGGTCTCAAACAATCCTCCCATCTCGGCCTCCCAAGTAACTGGGACTACAGGCATGCACCACCACACCTGGCTTTTTTTTTTAAATTATTTTTTGTAGAGATGGGGTCTCACCATGTTCTCGAGGCTAATCTCGAATTAGCCTCAAACTATCCTACCATCTCAGCCTCCCAAAATGTGGGAATTATAGGCATGAGCTACTGCACTCAGCCTGGACCTCTTTCTTAGTAGCCTTTTCTCCTACGATTTTATTTAAAACTTACAAAGTATGGAAATAAGCTGATTTATCTATCATTTCACTTTTCTCCCTAAGCTCCTTTTCAGGGAAAACTGCTGATGAACACCAGTAAACCAGCCAAAAGGCAGTTAGGTAAAAAGGGGTCAGAGAGTCAAAGCACAAGGCCAGTCCAAAACCTGGAGCATAGGTTCCCAAGTATTTGATTCAGTCACGGCCCCCTACACAGGCCTCACCTGAACACGTTTTCTTGTCGGCATTCAAGGTGTATCCTTGGCTACACTCACAGTGGTGCTTGCCTTCCCCATCACTGATGCAGACGTGCTGGCACTGGTGTGTTCCAAGCACACAGGGGTCCAGCGCTGTGAGAGGAAGTTTACAACAGTCAGCACTGACACTTAGGAAACATCTCAGATACCGTCTCCCATGTCAATAGACATTGCTCTCTGGGCTCCTTTCCGAGTCCATCTTTACTTCACTATAAAAAAATGGTTATTTGTTTTCTGCCTCTGGCTTATTAGCAATGCTACTCTTAAACTAGAAATTGTTGCTAATTTAAAAGTACACATCTTGCTATATAGACTTTCTCAAGGGAGAAAGGGAATTTGGAGTTTGGAGCTGAAGCCAAACACTTACATAGGCCAGGCAATTGGATGTTTTATTTGGCTTATCCGCCTCCCCATGAAAAAAAGATTTGTGCTTCCCCACCACAAGAAATGGGAGAACAATAAATGCACAGCCTGAAGTGACGTGAGCTAGTTGTCCCATTGTAGCCAGAATCTGATTTCCAAGGTTCTATAGCCTATGTCTAAACAGAATTCTCACACAAGTCTGGGTCTAAGCCTAGAACGAACTCACAGGTGGGCAGTGGTACATATTTGAACATGCAAATGGTAGAGGACAGTTCGGGTAACTGTCTTCTGAATATGTAAGGTGGGTGAAGTCATCCATACGCTAAATCCATAGTGAACTCATATGCTAATACAAACAGGTAAAAAGAAAAGAACAAAATAAATGAGATTACATTAGCTAAACTACATCTCCATCTTATTGCTCCTGGAGCCATTTATATCTCATTGGATATTTTTTTCCTAGTGACCTCTTTTGAAAGATGAATCAATGAATTAAGTCATTTCTGAGAAACCAAGGAGGCCTGTTGAAGGAGGCTGGCCCTCCTGTGGCAGGTAACCCAACCTCCACTGCCCTTGGCAACAGGACAAGGCTAATATTTTCCCAAGAAGGGCCTTTTCATGGAATGATCTTTCCAACCCGTTGACTACAACAAGCTGCCGCTCAGTCTTTTTTCCATAGAGAGGACGTTTTTCCCCCAGAACAAGCAGGTCTTTTGTACCAGAAGGAAAAGATTGCCACTCACCACTTGTTACTTTATAGCCTTCGAAGCCCAACCCCAGGTGCTAGCTTTGAAACCCAACTTTGCCACAGACCAGCATGTTGATGGAGAGGCTCTCACCCACAAGCATGGAGTGGGAGGGTGATTTCCTGGGAGAAAGAAAGCCACTTTCTTTTTGGAAGCCAACGAATGCCAAGTAGATGCCACCAAAGCCAGTGATGGCTTGTGAAAGCCCAGTGTCCTGGGACAGGAAAGACAAGGGGATCCCAGCCAAGTCTGACTGCAATGAGGCCAAACGTTGCCCCAGAGCAAGACTTCATCTCCCTTTTCCTGACAAACCATTGATGGCTGCGTTTCACATTAACCTAGATTAAAAGTCTCCTTGAAATGTATAATTGTAATTAATTATTGGTTCATTTGTTTGTCTCACCCCCACCCCCAGAATGTTACTTAATGGTATGGAGGGATTACCTTTATCTTTGTATCATCAGAGATCAATAAATGCATGCTGAATAAATAAGTGTGAAATAAATTATATTGCAAAAAGATATCTATGTTTAAAAATTCACCTGAACTAGAAATTTGTCCACAACTGCTTGGATATTCACATAGAGGGAACAAAAGATTATCTCCAGATGATAAAAAAATAAAGCATGAGTCCCACAGATCATAATTCTGATCAGTGACTAAAATTAAACTCCAGCATTGAATGGATCTGTAGTCCTAGATTTGGTCAATTCATGCTAAAAATTCCAATAAAATTAGCATGTCCTTATTCAAATTCCATCCTAAAGGATGGAAGGAGTAGCAGAGTTAACAGAATGATTTCTTAAGATCATCTTGCTTTCTTTCAAGTGAGCTGAAACCCTAATCTGCCTGGTCCCTGAATCCTGTTCTTCAACAAAGAGTAATCAGATAAACAGCCCAGTCTGAAAACCAGAGCATTCACTAAATGCACACTCGGGCTGACGGTGACATTGGAATAGAGGCCTGCTGACTCTCCCAAGGACAGACGCTTCTCCCTGTCTTCTGCAGGAGAACAAACAGAGTTCTGTTAGATCTAGAGATGGTAAAACTAAAAAAATATGTATCAGGGGAAAAAAATGTAGTGGTGGGGCAGAGGGGACAGGAGAGGCATCTTGAGTTTTGTTTTTCCTGACCCTGACAGGGAACAGCAGGGTCATTTATCCTGGATATTTGCAGACCTTCACAGTTCTAACGCAAACATGAAGATTTTATGAGCAAACCAAGTTCCATATAATGCAGCTCTATATTCCTAAACCAATAGAGTGTGTTTAGGTTGGTCGCACACACGCGCGCATGCACACGTGCACACACACACACGCATTGGATATATTTAAGTTTTTCATTAAATTTCCACCAAAAAAGAATAATACTCTTTTCTCTGGGTACACAATGTCTGAATATAACATCCTTTCTAGTTGGAAGCAAAGACTGACCAACTTACCACAGAAGGTTTCCTGGAATCTAGAGGAAAGTTTCTCAATGACCCCATAGGTCTCCACGTAGAAAACATGCTCCTCTAGGGGCTCACTGGCCATCATCTTGAGGGACGCCATGTCTGCCCGGTCCACGCCCACAGCATAGAGCTCAATACCAGATGCTTGGGCCCGAGCCGCCACCTCATTCACCTGGTCCTGGGGCCTCCCATCTGTAACAATGATGGCCACCTTAGGGATGTTAGAAGAGGGCTCTCGAGCCCCTGCCTCCACTGTGAAGGCTTCGTCCATTGCTGTCTGGATGGCTAGGCCTGACATGGTGCCTGTTGACAAGGGTGTGATTCGACCCACGGCCTGCTTCAGGGACTGCTTATCTGTGTAGGCCTGGAGTTGGAACTCGATCTTCACAGTGCTAGCATAGTTCACCACTGCCACCCGCGTGTCGGCTGGCCCAATGTCCAGAGTGTCGATTATCCGGGAGACAAAAGTTTTCACTTTGGTGAATTCCAGGGGCCGTACGCTACGAGAACTATCAATGATAAACACCAGGTCCAAGGGTCTGCTCTTGCAAACACCTGCAAAAGACCAAGCAATGATCAGACCACAATTAGAAATGCAGTAATCCTCACTTCCAGAGAACTCTGGGATTCCAGGAGGCCAGGCAAGGCAGCATCTCCTGACCCCAACATCACCACTGCCTGCGACCTTCCCCAAGACCATCGGGGTGTTGAAAGCACCAAGGACTTCAGAATTCCCTAGTGAGAATTCACCTGGAGGTGTGAAGTTTCCCCAAATACCTCACCTGCAGGCTGGCTGAATCCTGAAATTTCACTTAGAACCTCATCCCTCTGCTTAAGCTTTTGCTCCCAAGGGCCCTCATGATTCCTGGGAATTAATAGATTCTACACATTTCTTAAGTACCTTGGCTATCTGGAGCAATTGGACAATGTGTCCCTGAACCATGTAAAAGGCCTTGGGCCCTCAGGGACAGCCTCACTGCCAACCACTGTGCCCAAGCCTCAGGCAATGGTAGTCTGAGGCAAGGCACTCAGGGGCTCTTCTGGTGGCCCCCCTCTTTTACTCCACTTCCAAGGGGCTGAAAACTGCTCCAGAGTATCCCTGAATTCTCCCTCCATCTGGCCATCTTTCCTGTTTAGTGAATTTGGGGGCTCACTGGAGCCCTGAACTAATTTAAAGTAGAGCCAGGCGTGGTGGCTCATGCCTGTAATCCCAGCACTTTGGGAGGCCAAGGCGGGCAAATCAAGAGGTCAGGAGATCAAGACCATCACGGTGAAACCCCGTCTCTACTAAAAATACAAAAAATTAGCCGGGCGTGGTAGTGGGTGCCTGTATTCCCAGCTACTCGGGAGACTGAGGCAGGAGAATGGCGTGAACCTGGGAGACAGAGCTTGCAGTGAGCTGAGATTACGCCACTGCACTCCAGCCTGGGCAACAGAGCGAGACTCCGTCTCAAAAAACAAAACAAAAAAAAAAGTAAGTAGAAAGAGGGGCCCGGGCGCGGTGGCTCACGCCTGGTAATCCCAACACTGTGGGAGGCCGAGGCGGGAGGATCACCTGAGGTCAGGAGTTTGAGACCAGCCTGGCCAACTTGGTGAAACCCTGTCTCTACTAAAAATACAAAAATTAGCGGGTCGTAGTGGCATGTGCCTGTAATCCCAGCTACTCGGGAGGCTGAGGCAGGAGAATCGCTTAAACCCGGGAGGTGGAGGTTGCAGTGAGCTGAGATCCTGCCATTGCACTCCAGCCTGGGCAATAAGAGCAAGACATCATCTCAAAAAAAAAGTAGAATGAGGGATGCCAACTTAATCTTGTATCTGTTTAGTGAGCTTCCAGCTTCATGAGCATGTCTCGTAAGAAGCAGGGATTGTGATCTGGTATCTACCCTACTGCCCCAACTAACTCTCTTGGTCATCTCTCTTTTGACTTATTCATTCACCAAAAACATTTTTTGAGGGCCTACATGTATGAAGCCCTGGAGCTACAAAAGCATATAAACCAGATAGCCAGATTTCCCACCTTCAAAGAATTTATCTCTTTTCTACACAAAAGTACCTAACAGTTTAGTATCACAGTACATTTTAGTGTTCATCTATTCTTTCCTGTTCTTTCCTGTTTCCCCCAACCCCTGTTTGCACACCCTCTCTCCTCGATACAAAAATCAAATCCACAAGTCAGGATGAGACAAGAAAAAAAGCCAATTATTAAACTTCTTTTTCTTTTTTTTGAGACGGAGTCTCATTCTGTCACCCAGGCTGGAGTGCGGTGGTGCAATCTTGGCTCACTGCAACCACCACCTCCTGGGTTCAAGCAGTTCTCCTGCCTCAGCCTCCTGAGTAGCTGGGACTACAGGTGTGCGCCACCACACCCAGCTAATTTTTGTATTTTTCATAGAGACGGGGTTTCACTATGTTGGCCAGGCTGGGCTCAAACTCCCAACCTCAGGTGATCCTCCCACCTTGGCCTCCCAGAGTGCTGGGATTATAGGTGTGAGCCACTGTGCCCAGCCCTAAACTTCTTTTTCAAGTCATTCCCCCTTCTCACCCAACACACGCATGCAGCCCTAAATGGAAATGAGGTCCTGGGGCATGAAGTGTCACTCAAGGCTCTTTCCTTTCCTAATAAGGAGGCAGAAGTTGATGCTACTCTAGGAAGGTAATACTTAGTAGGAAAAAAAGGTGATTCAAAATTAATGCCTAGACTAAGCAGTTTATAGAAAAAAATTAAAGCCTTACCTGGAACAGCCTACCTTATGTCTCTGTCTAGTTTTCTTTTAAAAGCAGAAAATTATCTTCTTGTTTTTAGCCTGCTGCTTGGAGGTATTTAATTAACAAAAAGAAAATCTTCCTTTCAGTAACACTTTAGGAATCGCAAGGTACCAACACATCAACCTGTGAGGCTGGAGGTGCAGAGGTGGTTTTTATATTCATTTTACAGGTGAGAAACCTGAGGTTCAAGGAGGTGTGAGAACTAGAAAGTGGTAGAGCATGGATTGGACTCCAGGTTTCCTGACTCCCAGTCCCTGGGAGCTTGCTACTGAATCCCAGTTACCTCTCTCTGAGGCAACATTTTCCTCCACAAAAATCAACATTCTCTCATGTATTCAGTAAACATCCTGCTTGTTGACTTTAAGTCACCGCCCTGAAATATGCTGTATGTCATGCATTTAGTTAAGTCAAAAGGAATTAAACCCAGGCGCAGTGGCTCACGCCTGTAATCCCAACACTTCGAGAGGCTGAGGGAGAAGGATCACTTGAGCTCCGGAGTTCTAGACCAGCCTGGGCAACATAGGGAGACCTCATCTCTATAAAAAGTTTAAAAATTAGCCAGGCATGGTGGCAGGCACCTGTAGTCCCAGCTGCTTAGGGGGCTGAGGCAGGAGGATCGCTTAAAGCTAGAGAGTCAAGGCTGCAGTGAGCCACAATCACACCACTGCACTCCAGCCTGGATGATAGAATGAGACCCAGTCTCTAAAAGCCAAAAAAAAAAAAAAGGAATCAAAATTCTTTCTTTCTTTAAAAAAAAAAAAAACAACTCCAGCAGCCATAAAAAAGAATGAGTCCATGTCCTTTGCAGGGACATGGATGAAGCTGGAAGCCGTCATTCTCAGCAAACTGACACAGGAACAGAAAACCAGACACCACATGTTCTCACTCATAAGTGGGAGTTGAACAATGAGAACTCATGGACATAGGGAGGGGAACATCACACACCAGCGCCTGTCAGGGGGTGGGGGGCAAGAGGAGGGAGAGCATTAGGACAAATACCTAATCTATGTGGGGCTTAAAACCTAGATGATGGGTTGATGGGTGCAGCAAACCACCAGCGCACATGTATCCCTATGTAACAAACCTGCACATTCTGCACATGTATCCCAGAACTTAAAGTAAAATAATAATAATTTTTTAAAAAGATCTGAATAGGAAACATTTGTCATCTATTGTCTCTAAGGGTAGCCACTATAAGACTTCAAAAGAACATTGGTCTTTACAGTCTTTTATCTTAACCTGAACATTTCCTTTCTATGGATCCCAGGTCTTTAGGCAAATGCAACCAATTATCAACCAGAAAATATTTAAACTTACCTATAGCCTGGAAGCCCCTCACCACCACCGGCTTTGAGTTGTCCCACCTTTTAGGACCAAACCAATGTATTTCTTAAATGTATTTGATTGATGTCTCATACCTCCTTAAATTGTATAAAAACAAGCTGCACCCTGACCATCTTGAGCACATGTACTCAGGACCTCTTGAGGGCTGTGTCACAGACCATGGTCACTCATGTTTGTCTCAGAATAAATCTCTTCAAATACTAAAAAAAAAAAAAAAAAAAAAAACCTCCAGAATTTTACTTCATTCCTGGAAAGTCCCATAGATCTAGAGCTAGGAAGAAGAATTATGTTGAAAATCTTTCCTGGAGATGGGTCAAAGTATTTTTGTATAATTAGAAAAAGAAAAGGTGGGGGTAACATGAAGATATGAACTCTGTAATTGACAGTGCTTTCACCAGCACCCAAATGGTGTCCTTATAAATATCATGGCTATGTTCTTATAACTAAACGTGCATGATTCTTTCCTTCTCCACTTGGTTATTCACACCGAATCCTCTATTCGGGGTGTGGTATGCAGAATAATGTCCCCCGCCAAAGACGTCCACGTCCTAATTCCAGAGACATGTTACTTTTACGTGGCAAAGAGCAGAGACTTTGCAGGTGTGATTAAGTCAAAGAGCTCTACACAAGAGGTTATCCTGGATTATTCAGTGAGTCAATGTAATTATAAAGTAGAAGAGGGAGGCAGATGAAAGAAATGTGAGTAACTCAATGGGAGAAGGCCTCAACCTGCTTTAGCTGGCTCTGAAAATGGAAGAAAAAGGCCATAAGCCAAGGAACTCAGCAGCCTTCATGCGGTGGAAAGGGAAGGGAAATGCAGTCTCCCCTAGAGCCTCCCAAAAGGAACACAGCCCTGCCGACACCTTCATCTTAGCCCAGTGAGACCAGGGTCAGACTTCTGACCCACAGAACTCTCAGGTAATAAATGTGTGTTGTCTTAAGGCACTAAATTCACAGTAATTTGTTACAGTGGCCATAGAAAACTAATACCTGAGGCTTGACCATGGTGGCAGAAAATTCTGTGAACATCTGGTTCCTTCCTGACTGGTACTCCGCATCAATCATTAGTTGTTTTTGAATCTCACTCCCATTTACTAAATAGCAGCAATTTGATTCCCAAGAACAAAGAAAGAATCTGAATCTCCTAAAATGTTCCCATACTCATAATACCACTGAGTCCTTACAGTCCTGCTAGAAATAAAAATCCATAGCGAAGCTTAGCAATTTCTGGTTGCTAAAAGGAGATAATTTGGAACAGGGTGGAATCTCGCATTTATTAATGGGTTATCATTCATGATCAGGTTCGGACTCTAGGTAATGAAAGACCAGTAAAGCTTAGGGGGACATGGCCACCTGGTGCTGAATCTCTCCTTCCTCTTCCAGTCCCATCCCAGAGGGAGGCAGGTCAGGACTAGAGTAAGATTAACTTCCAGAAGAAAGGCTTTCCCTCAATTCCCGGCCTGGAGCAACCAGCCACCAGCTGAATCTAGCCCTGTGGACCCCGGTACCTCCTGCCTTAGCAGCAATGCTTTTGCCATTTCAAATCTGCCACTTCAAATACGGGGACTGAGTATTTGAGTCAGGAAAGAGTCCCTTGAGCTCCTTCTCAGCTTATCCAGAAAGATGCAGAAGGGGATAGACAATTGAAATCAGCCTGAGGCATGCAGCGTGGCTGGCCAAATGAGACTGCATACCCAGAAATGGCCTGGCACAGACTCTTTTTAGCAAGACTGAAGCTGCGCTTTTTGGAAATGAAGATACAATCTTATGTAAACCATATTAAGAGGTTGGTAGGCTGGGGCAGTGGAAAGAGACCTTGCTTGGGATTTCGGAGCCCTGAATTTTATTGTGGCCTCTGATACTGATTCACAGAGTCCCTTCAACTTGATATGCCTCAGTTTCCCTTCATGTGCTGTCAGGGGCTGTGTCAGACGACCTGCCCGCTTCGCTGCACTATGAGCTTTGCTCTGCTTCAGGAATCAATTGCTGACCAAAAAGAGAAATAGAATTGTTCGCCAAAGACCCAGAGTGTCTTGATCCTGGGGTATCCTACGGCTCCTCGGATCTCCTCCTGGTCTCACACCCGCATCCCTTACCTTCCAGTCTGAGGCAGCCTGAGGACTGTGGGAGGGGAGGAAAGATCACGCCCTGATATTGGATGGAGATGGAGAGATTCCAAGAGAACTAACAGCAGAGTCTCAGGAAGGGTTTGCTCACTGAATGGAGAGGTCAGGACTGGGACGGAGCTTAGCAGCAGCCGCTGGGCAGCAGCCCCTGCGCTCCCCAGCTGCCCTGTGCTCCTGGCCGAATCACAGGGGAGTGAGAGCTTCAGGAGACCCACATCTCTAGCCTGGACACATGAGTGATATTGGGCATCTCCCTCCCCTTCTCTGGACCTCAGTTTCCCCCACAGGATTCATCCGGGAGGGGCCTCTTTCCCCCGCACCACGGTCGGCCTGAGGCCGGGATGAAGCGCGCTTGGTGGATGCCCTGGGCTTCTCCTCGTTCGATGCTCACGCGTCCCTCCCGCCGCCCGCCTGTACCTGCACCGCGGGCGCGGCCAGGCTCGCTGGTCCCGGAAGCGGGCGCGCCGTCGGGAGCCGCAGGAGAGGGGCGGCGTCCAGGGCTGCCCCCGGGACCTCGGGTCTCCAGCCTCCGGAAGCCCGGGCGGGCCACGGGGTCGGGGGCGGCGGAGGGCAGCAGCAGCAGCGGCCAGAGCAGCAGGAGGAGTCCCGGGAGGCGGCGCGCGGGGGCCGGGCGCGGCATGGTGGGCTCCGTGGGCCTGGTGGTGTCCGTCGGGGGCCAGGAGCCCACGCGAGGCTCGGATTTAAAGGTCCCGCGGCCTCGGGCCCCGCCCCGCCCCGGGGCCTCGAGCGCCAGGCCGGCCCGGCGAACCCCGCCCAAGGCCAACAAGGAGCCTTGTCCGCGCATTCCAGCGGCAGAAACGGAATGTCTGGGCGAGGCGGCCAGCGGCGCGGTGGTCACCTCCCGCCCCTGCCCTAAGCCCCGAGCCGGCTGCAACTGGGTGGGCTCGGCTGCTGTCGCAACCTCCGTCCTCCCAGTAACACCGGGGCAGGGGGGGCAGCCATCCGCGGCTGCAGCCTGCCCGGCCCTCCACTCTCCCTCCCACCCCAGCGGGGCCTGCGCCCCAGGTACGGGATGGGGACCCCTGGGCTCTGCTTTCCCTTCTGCCACTGGTTTGCCCGACTGGGGCTGAAGATGAAACCCTGCTCCTAGCTCTACATTCCTTTCCTCAGCCAAGTAACCCAAGTTTTGCTGTGGGCTCTTGTTTAAAAAAAAAAAAAGAAAGAAAAGGCCTCACAGATTCTAGGGGCATGAATAGAAACGCTTTCATCCGAGCTTCAAATATCCACAAACATTTGAACTTATATTACCGGGAATAGAAAGTCAAACATACATTCCCCAGAGAGCCCCGTTAGCTGGAAGGACAGCCTGTACCAACACAGGCTTCAAAGGCTCTCCCGAGGCCCCATTTCCTCTCCGGAAGAGTTAGCATGGTACAGGGCTGGAGGCTGCCAGGGGACCCCCATGGAACTCACTGTCTGTGAGAAGGAGATTTGCATAAATGTGGTGTCTGTCTACGGGAATGTGGTGGATTTAGGAAAGAGATACTGACTGCCTGCGGAGACCAGGAAGACTTCTAAAACCAGGTGACATTTGAGCTGCGTCTTAAAACAATGGGCGCGAGTTCCAACAGAGCCTATCTGGTCGTCCTATTTCACTATTTTCCCTCTACAAGTGATCCTCCTCACACGATCCTAAACCTCACTTCTCATATTTGTACCCCATGCTGGTAGCAGCATTATACACAATAGCCAAGAGGCGGAAACAACCCAAGTGTCTCTCTTTGTGTGAATGGAAAAGCAAAATGCAGTATCTACGTACAATGGAATACTGTTCAGCCTTAAAAGGGAGGAAATTTTGGCAGATGCTACAAAATGGATGAACCTTGAGAGTATTATGTTAAGTGAAATAAGCTAGTCACAAAAAGACAAATACTGTATGATTCCATTTACATGGGGAATCTAGAGTAGTCAAATTCATAGAGACAGAAAGAATGGTGGTTAACAGGAGCTGAGGGGAAGTGGGGATGGGGAGTTGTATAATGTATCAATGACATTGGGCAGTGATAGTCACACTGAGGGAAAAGGTCACTCAACTCCCACTGAGAACTCACCAATTTAGAAGGACCTTAGAAGAAACGAGAAGTTTGTAATAATGGGAAGAGGACACTAAGAAGTTTGAAAGAAACTATGCCAAGAAGAGGAGGGATTGATAAATACAGTATTTGCAAGCTCTGGTGGACATTTGTCTTTCGTCTTGCTTTTAGAATGATCCCCAAAGCCTTTGAACCCTACATTAGTCAGGGTTCTTGAGAGAAACAAAACCAATAAATTTTATATACACATACATATAGAGAGAGGGTGGGGGGAGTAATTGAGATTATGAGGGATTGGTTCATGCGATTATGAAGGCTGAGAAGTCCCACAGTCTGCTGTCTGCAAGCTGGGGGCCCAGGAAAGCCAGTGGTGTAATCCAGTCCAAGCCTGAAGGCCCAAGAGCAGGAGAGCCAATGACATAAGGCCCAATCTGAGTCCAGAGACCCAAGAACCAGGAATGCTGATGTCCAAGGACAGGAGAAGCTGGTTGGCCCAGCTCCAGCAGAGAACACATTTGCCTTCCACTGTCTTTTTGCTCCATTCAAGCCCTCAACAGATTGGATGATGCCCACTCCACTCACATAGATGAAGGTGATCTTCTTTGCTCAGTCTACCGATTCAAATGCTAATCTCTTCCAGAAACATCCTCACAGACACACCCAGAAATAATATTTAATAGCTATCTGGGCATCCATTAGCCCAGTCAAGATGACACATTAAAATTCACCATCACAAATACCTTCCTAAATTTAGGGATTTCCAACTTCATGAGTCAGCACCTCCCCAAGTTGACTCCAAGAACTTGCTTCCCCAGCATCTCTTGCAGCTAGGATGTACATAAGTGGCCCAGTCTTCATCGATCATATGTGGTGTCTATGCCAAGCAGCAGTGACTCTAGGTCTCCCATATAGCAAACCTGCAGTATAATTTTGGGAATGGTTGATGACTGTGTGGCTTCCAAGCTTGATTCTTGAACCTTTCCAGAAATTATTTGAACCACTTAATATCCAGGGCTACATATGGATGGTGTAGGTGTACATTGCACAAGTTCACAGGGGCACTATTCACATTCGTAGTCAACACATATTGATTATAACATTTGGAATTCCACTTCAACTGGGGAGTGATGTTTCTTGAGGAATGGTTGGCTTTTCCATTTGTACTTTGAGCTAGTAGTGGGACAAATAATACCCTTAATATATACTTTTTCTGTTTCTTTATTATTATTATTATAAACAGGGTCTCATTCTGTCACCCAGGCTGGAGTGCAATGGTGTCATCAGAGCTCACTGCAACCTCAACTTTCTGGGCTCAAGCAATCCTCCAGGTTCAAGCAATCCTCCTGCCTCAGCCTCCCGAGTTGCTGGGACCACAGGTGTGCACCACCACGCCCAACTAATTTTTTTTTATTCTTTATAGAGACAGGGTCTAATTATGTTGCCCAGGCTGATCTTGAACTCCTGGGCTCAAGTGATCCTCCCACCTCAGCTTGCCAAAGTGCTAGGATTATACATGTGAGCCACCATGCTTAGCCTCTTTTTCAGCTCATTCTAGCAGGAATGGGTTCTGTTTGCACCAACAATGTGGATATATTAATCTTGTGATTTTTTTTTTCTATTGCATACCACTGGGGGGCACTGTTTTAAAGAGCTCAAAATAAAAATCTCAGCTCCCTGGTGAATGTCCCTACACATTCGTTGTCAGTATCTCAGACAATTTCAGATGCTGGTGTATGAAAGTCATGCCATCTTGAATGAAATAGAAATTGTCTGATAAGTTTGTATCTCCAGAGTTCACACTCCAGGGCGGTTGTCTTACATCTGATGTCCAAAGATTGTCAAATAAAACAAAGGTAGCTCTTCTGACAGAGGAATTCAGGTGGCTGTAGGGCCTTCTTGCATGTCACCAACTCAACTGGCTGCTGGACCAGGTGGTAACTTTGCTTTCAGGTGTTTACTTGGGAATATTGCAAAAGCTATATTTCTCTACCACTGCATATTATCTTATACTACTTTGTCAAGATAAAGACTAGAATAACTTTTTGATAACCTAAAGACTTAGGTCATAAAAAAGCCAAACAGAGGTTTTTTGAACTATTCAAAAATCTAAGAAATACAACAAAGATTTATATATACACTTTACATTGTTTTTAGAATTTTATTATTTTTAAAGTAGGTAATACATGCACTTGGTCTAAACTTTGAAAAGAAAAAAGAAACCGACCAAATGTTAGGATTACTTTCAACTTTGCATTACTTCTTACAAGCAATAAATTCAACATCTTGGGAGAATTATTTTTCTCACAACTAGGATTTCAGCAGTAGAATAAGACTTGCAAGCTACTTAAGGAACCACTTGTCTCCTGCTTTGCTGCCCTTAATGTGTGGATTTTGTTCCCAAGGCTGCTGGAACTCCAAGTATCATGTTGGCATTCCAGGATGAAGGAAGAGGGAAGACCAAAGGCCAAAGAGCAAAGGACCAAAAGATATTTGCTGCTGACATCTCATGGCCACACCTGGCCACAAGGGGGTCTTGAAAGGTAAGTTCTTAGCTTTTTTGATCCACAGTGAAGAAGGCAAAGGAAAACATGCATTGGAATGGGAGTTGACAGCTAACCTGTGGCATATACTACAGGTATATGGTGAAAAGGAACTATCCCAACCACCCTTGCCAATAACACCACTGTTGCCAATGTCTTGAATGTGCATAGACTTGTAGGTGTAAACATTGAAAAATACGTGTGCAGACATCCACTGTTCTATTGAAAGAAGACATATGTTTCCAACTTTAGACCAAAAAATCTACCCCCAAACAAGTTGAAAAGTCCTTTGATTCCATGGATGCATTGGAGAAAATGTTGTCAAAAGATGTCCCAAGACTTCTTAAATCTGATAAATGACAGACCATGTACTTGGAGAAAAAAATTTGTTTTCTTTTGTGTTCAAAACTGTCTCAATCCCAAGGTGGAAGTCTTTTCCAGAAAGTATAGAACTCTTTACCTATGTTTTTTGCAATTTACCCACCTGAAAAAAACAAGTAATTATGAAAAATGAATATGTTCAATAGCCTACAAGTTGTATTGCCATCTCTGTTTTTTAATTGCCACAGGGATTAAGATAGTACAAATTACGGATTGGTACTACCCATTAATATTTATTTTATTAAATAAATATTTCTAGACTGGATGTGGTAGCTCATGCCTGTAATCCCAGCACTTTGGGAGGTGGGAGGAGCGCTTGAGCCCAGGAGTTCAAGACCAGCCTGGGCAACATAGTGAGACTCCATCTTTATGAAAAATTTTTTAAAAATTAGCCAGGTGTGGTGGCACACACCTATGGTCCCAACTACTCGGGAGACTGAGGTAGGAGGACTGCTTCAGCTCAGGCCATTGAGGCTACAGTAAGCCATGATCGTAGCACTGCACTCCAGCCTGGGCGACAGAGTGAGACCCTGTCTCAATCAATCAATCAGTCAATATTTCTGTGAATAAGCAGAAAACATGGAAACTAAATCTAAACTCTTGTGTTTTAAGGCCTGTGCCTATTTTTAATACCAAATTCTTAGCTATATGAGAGTAGCTTGCAAATGAGATGAGGTTGAAGGCAAAGTTTGGCTTGCTCTAAAAAAGAAAAAAAAACACTATTTCTGAAACACAGGAAGCACATTTCATTATTGCCAGTAAGTTCTGAAGAGGGCTGTTAATGACCTACTATTATTAACTAACATTTACAACTTAAGACATATTTCTATTCAAAATAGTAGAATCAATATTTGAAAAGAGCAACTCATAACACTTTTGCTTCCTTTAATAAAAGATTGGTTTTAATTTTTATTGTTTCATTTTAGAAGTACAAGCATGAGCATTAAGTTTCACTAGTAAATAAAAAAACAATTATCAAGTCAGCCAGTTCACTGTAATGTCTTCCCCAGAGTTGATTCTCTGAAGCCATATTGTAAATTAGGTTTTTCAAATTTGTTTTTACCACAATTCACTATAACAACACATTTTATATTATGAGCCAGTTACTGCACAAATATATAATACATATATACAACAGAAATAAGTTTTTTTTTTTTTTTGAGACGGAGTCTTGCTCTGTTGCCCAGGCTGGAGTACAGTGGTGCGATCTCTGCTCACTGCAAGCTCCGCCTCCCGGGTTCACACCATTCTCCTGCCTAAGCCTCCTGAGTAGTTGGGACTACAGGTGCCTGCCACTATGCCTGGCTAATTTTTTTTTTTTTTTTTTGTATTTTTAGTAGAGATGGAGTTTCACCGTGTTAGCCAGGATGGTCTCGATCTCCTGACCTCGTGATCCGCCCGCCTCGGCCTTCCGAAGTGCTGGGATTACAGGCGTGAGCCACCGTGCCTGGCCCAGAAATGAGTTTTATAAAGCAATATTGACAACACATGTGATGCACTCCAATGATTCCTATTTTATTCAACTCCATTCATTTCTATTTCATTTTCTTAAAAATCTGGCTATAAACATCTAAATAGAATTCATGATTCACTAATGTTTGAAAACGTCTGTATTAAATAGATTTTCTTCTGCTGCCTCTGCCCTTTCAATCTATTACAAGTGTCTGGTTTGTTGCTTCAGTGGGCCTTACTCACTTTGTAATTATTTAATATGTATTAAATGCATTCATTCCATCAGACTCCACTAGAGCATAGGCTCCAAGAGGGCAGAGGCAATGCTTGCATTGTTTGCTACTAAATTCCCAGAAATTCTACCTTACCACATGCAGGTTCACAACCTCTGTTAGGACTGAGACTTCAGGAAATGGGAGATCATGGAACAGAGCTGATATTCAGCCTTTCCTTGGCAGAGTAGTCAACAGGCATGATAGATTGTTTGTAGGAAGAGAAACAGCCTGGCACTGCTTTTTCCAGGAATTGAGTGGTGGCGAGTGCTCTGTTTCACTTCACTGACAACAGACTGCCCTGTGCTGGGCATTGGCTCCACAGACCATCTCTTCCTTGGCCTTCTCTAGCAGTGGAGTGAGATCCTCCTCCAACACCAGGCTCCTTCTAGGGAAGAAGTTTGGGGGAGACGCAGCCTAAAGTGTAATGTCTGTTTCAGCACATTAGCATGTGAGCATCTGTGGAAATTAAAACTATTTAACCAAGGCTAGAAAGTAAATTAAGAGTTGCTTTTCTTTAAAAAAATCACTTTAATATTGCTATAATTTTTTTACAATTCTAAAAAACTATTTATTAGTCAACTTTGGCTAGGTTATGCTATGGTAACCAATGGCCCCACACTCATGTTCTTATAACAAAGGACGTTTATTTCTTGCTGTGTTATGTGTCCTTCATAGGTTGGCTGCAGCTCTCCTCCATGTCTTCTTCATTCTGGCACCCAGACATAGGAGCAGGCCCAATCTGGAATGTGCTGGTCTTGAGGCAAAGGAAGGAAAAAAGATGGTAGAATCATGCACCTGCAAGAAGGTGGCAAATCAATTTCATTCACGTTATTGGCTGGAGCAAGCCACGTGGCCAAGCCTGATGGCAGCAGTTGGGAAATATTAATATCAACTTTTTGCTGGAAAAATGGCAAATATTTGGAAACTACAACAGGATCTAGCACAATTTATTTAGACATTGCTTATGATGGGGATAGATGGGGGCCCTCAGAGGGCCCTTCTCTTAGAAGATTCAACAAGAACCCTTCATCTCTCATTCCAGGTTGGCTTCTCCTCAAGAGGCCACTCACGTTGGCTGATCTAATCCTAACCACTTTCTAACAGCTTTTCATCTTCATAAGTAGATAGCCTTGGTGGAGCAATTTCTTTGTTCTTGTTGCTTGGTGTCCTGCGAGTAGGGAAACTGCTAGCTCTCAGCTCAGGCCAAATGGGAAGCATGGTTGGAATCCGCTTCCAACAAGTTGTCACTCCCAAGAGTCATGCCCTTTCTTGACTTCGGGTTGTGCAGAGCCTGGCTCTAAAATCTCCCAGGACACATGCAAGGCCATGGATCCCAAGATATATTTTTTCCACATCCTAGACTTACTGATTTATGACAAAACATGCAGTTGTGCTATTTACAGAAACCTCCAATGGAAGCCTTTTCATATCTCTCAGAGGTTCAGTCTTTTCCAGCTCTGGGTGCAAATCAAACAAAGGGGAAGGAGGCCTGTAGTCCCCATGCCCTGATGCAGTGGGCCTGCAACTGGACTGTCAGAATCACCCGGGAGGCCTTATCAAAGACAGATTCCTGGGCCCCCACCCTATATGGGCTGAATCAGATGGTTGGGTTCTGGGCCCAGGAATTTCCAGTTTCTGGAGGTGTATTAGTCTGTTCTCATGCTGCTAATAAAGACATACCTGAGACTGGGTAATTTATAAAGAAAAGAGGTTCAATGGACTCACAGTTCTACATGACTGGGGAGCCCTCACAATCATGGCAGAAGGCAAAGGAGAAGCACAGGCACATCTTACATGGTGGCAGGCAAGAAAGCTTGTGCAGGGGAACTCCCGTTTATAAAACCATCAGCTCTCATGAGACTTATTCACCACCACAAGAACAGTGTGGGGGAAACCACCCCCATGACTCAATTATCTCTGCCTGGCACCAACCTTGACACATGGGGATTATTACAATTCAAGGTAAGATTTGGGTGGGGACACAGCCAAATCATATCATTCTGCCTCAGCCCCTCCCAAATCTCATGTACTCACATTTCAAAACCAATCATGCCTTCCCAACAGTCCCCTAAAGCTTTAACTCATTTCAGCATTAACTCAAAAGTCCACAGTTCCAAAGTCTCATCTGAGAGAAGGGAAGTCCCTTCAGCCTATGAGACTGCAAGATCAAAAGCAACTTAGTTACTTCCAAGGTACAAGGGTGATACAGGCAATGAGTAAATACACCTGTGCCAAATGGGAGAAATTGACAAAAACGAAAGGGCTAGAGGCCCCGTGCAAGTCCAAAATCCTGGGGAGGGGTAGTCATATCTTAAAGCTCGAAAATGATCTCCTTTGACTCTGTGTCTCACATTCCAGGTCAAACTCATGCAAGAAGTAGATTCCCATGGCCTTGAGCAGCTCTGCTGCTGTGGCTTTGCAGGGTACAGCCCCCCTCTTGGTTGCTCTCACAGGCTGGCACTGAGTGTCTGCAGTTTTTCCAGGTGCATAGTGCAAGCTGTCAGTGGATCTACCATTCTGGGGTCTGAAGGATGGTGCCACTCTTCTCACAGCTCCAGTAGGCAGTGCCCATTGGGACTCTGTGTGGGGGCTCCTACCCCACATTTCCCTTCTGCACTGCCCTAATAGGAATTTTCCATGAGGGCTCTGCCCCTGCAGCAAACTTTTGTCTGGACATCCAGGCCTTTCCATATATTTTCTGAAATCTAGGAGGAGGTTCCCAAGCCTCAATTCTTGATTTCTGTGCACCTGCAGGCTCAACACCACGTGGAAGCCAACAAGGCTTCGGGCTTGCACCCTCTGAAGCAATGGCCTGAGCTCTTTGTTGGCCCCTTTTAGCCACAGGTGGGATGCAGAGCACCAAGTACCCAGACTGCACAAAGCAGCAAGTCCCTGGGCTGGGCCCACAAAAACATTTTTTCCTCCTAGGCTTCTGGGCCTGTGGTGGGAGGGGCTGCCATGAAGACCTCTGACATGCCCTGGATATATTTTCCCCATTGTCTTGGCGGTTAGCATTTGGCTCCTCATCACTTATGCAAATTTATTCAGCAGCTTGAATTTCTGCTCAGGAAATGGGTTTTTCTTTTGTATTGCATCATCAGGCTGCAAATTTTCTGAACTTTTATGCTCTGCTTCCCTTTTAAATATAAGTTCCTATTCCAAACCATATCTTTGTGCATACATAAAACAAAATACTCTTAGCAGCACCCAGGTCACCTCTTGAACACTTTGCCACTTAGAAATTTCTTCCATCAGATGCCCTAAATCATCTCTCTCAAGTTAAAAATTCCAAAAATCTCTAGGACAGGGGCAAAATGCCACCAGTCTCCTTGCTAAAACATAGCAAGAGTCACTTTTGCTACAGTTCCCAATAAGTTCCTCATCTCCATCTGAGACCACCTCAGCCTGGACTTTATTGTCCATATCACTATCAGCATTTTTTTCAAAGCCATTCAACAAGTCTCTAGGAAGTTCCAAACTTTCCCACATTTTTTTGTCTTCTTCTGAGCCCTCCAAACTGTTCCAACCTCTGCCTGTTACCGAGTTCCAAAGTCACTTCCACATTTTTGAGTATCTATACAGCAGCAATTTACCAATATCAATACCAGTACCAATTTATTCTACCAGTACCAAGTTACTGTATTAGTCTGTTCTCTTGCTGCTAATAAAGGCATACCCGAGACTGGGTAACTTATAAAGGAAAGAGGTTTAATGGACTCACAGTTCCACATAGCTGGGGAGCCTGCATAATGATGGCTGGAGGCAAAGGAGAAGCAAAGGCACATGTTACATGGCAGCAGGCAAGAGAGCTTGTGCAGGGGAACTCCCATTTACAAAACCATCACATTTCATGAGACTTATTCACTACCATGAGAACAGTATGGGGGAAACTGCCCCCATGATTCAATTATCTCTACGTGGCCCCACCCTTGACATGTGGGGATTATTACAATTCAAGGTGAGATTTGTGTGGGGACACAGCCAAACCATATCAGGAGGCAACTGCTATGCCGAGGGAGTTTGTGTCCTGCAGTTTGTAGTATCTCATTCGAATGATCTTGGCAACAGGCCTGTATCTGCAGTAAGAGCAGGTGCAAGGAAATGGCCACCAGCAAGGAAACTGCACAGTGGCCCCATGTCTTTGTTATGAATGGGACTTGCTGAGCATCTGGATCTGGGGTCATGAAACATCTGGGGCCAATGAGTGACTATCCTCCCACCTCCTTCTCTCCACACCACACTTCTCAACAGCTATCACTTCTTAACCCATTTCTTACTGCCTCCCCTGTACCATCCTGGGGAAAGTGCTCTTCCTTCCTCCCCTGCACTATCCTAAGGAAAGTGCTCTCCTAAGTGCATAATGGCTCAGATCACCAAGCCCAGAGGCCTCTTGGTAGAGTTTAGATCACCCTGTTTTTGGCAGGAGCTCCAGTGTTAGCCCCTTCATCCCAGGTTGTCCTATAGTCCTGATTCTACACTGTCTCTCTCATTTGCCACTTCCTTTTCTTCTTTCCATGCTCTATGAAGTGTGGAAGTCCACAGGCTTTTTTCTAAATCAGCTTTTAAAAAGGAAAATCGATTTTTTTCTTAGTATAAAAGTAACATATACTTTACTATACAGAATGTAGAAACTGTAGATAAGCAAAAGAATGGAAAGACCATCCATAGACTACCACCCAAAGATAAGCTATGTGGTGTTACCTCTTTTGTCTCTGCTTATATATGCATCCATTTTTATTAAAAATGAGACCATGCTATGTTGTAGGGTTATAACTTGCTTTCTGTACTTAACATATAGTGAACACTTTTCTGTTATATTCTTCAAATACAACATTTGTAATGACTGTACTGTATTTCACTGTATATTTCATTTACTTAACCAATTTTCCATTGTGGGACATGTAGTTTCTACTTGTTTTTAATTGCAAGCTGTGCTTCACTGAACCTTTTTTCATGAATCTTTGTGAATTACTATTATCTCCCTAGAAGAAATTACTAGAAATGGAAGGGCTGAAATGACTAGGTCTTGATACTTTGTGTACCATCTATGTTAGGAGTCTCAACTACCAGCGTTGTTTCAGCTACCACCTCTATATTGCTAATTTCCAGATCAGAGTCTCTTGTCCCAACCTACTCCTGAGCAATAAAACTACATTTGTAACTCGCTTTTGTACTCCTCTATTTAAAGGTCACAAAAGTACGTCATGCTCAATCATAACCAAGAATGAACTCATCTTCCTCTTTTTTAAAAAAGCTCACTGTCCTTTATTCCCCATTTATTCCACTATTCCTCTGGCCAGACAGGCATGAAAGAAATCTTGATGACCTCCTTCCTCTCTTGATCCTTTCATATTAAGTTGCGAAGTCTTTGATTGACATCTCTACCAGTTCAAGTCCTAACCAACTCTCAAGACCTATCTCAAATCTGCTCACTGTAGGAAGTTTATCTTCCCTTTTCCAGCCAGACAGGATCCCTGAAGGAGGGAGAAGAGAGGACAGAGAAAATATTTGAAGAGATAATGACTGAAATTTTTCCAAACATGATGAAATCTATAAACCTACAGATTTAAGAATCTCAATGAACCTCAAATGCAACAAATGTGAAAAAACAAAAAGCCAGCATCGAGGAACATCATAAACAAATTGTTCAAAATCAGGGCTATAAGAGAAAATGTTCATTACCCAAAGAAAAAAAATGTTCCATACAGAGAAAGTCAAGGATGACAGTAAATTTCTCATTAGAAACAATGTGTTCAAGAAGACAGTGAAGCAATATCTTTAAAGTGCTGAAAGAAAAAAAACAAAAATAAACCAAAAAAAGGTCCACTTAGAATTCTACATCCAGGGAAGATAGCTTTTGAAAAACAAAGGTAATTTTTTTTTTTTTTGAGATGGTGTCTTGCTCTGTTGCCCAGGCTGGAGTGCAGTGGAGCGATCTTGGCTCACTGCAACCTCCGCCTCCTGGGTTCAAGCAATTCTCCTGCCTCAGCCTCCTGAGTAGCTGGGATTACAGGCCCGCACCACCATGCCCGGCTACTTTTTGTATTTTTAGTAGAGATGGGGTTTCACCATGTTGGTCAGTCTGGTCTCAAACTCCTGACCTCATGATCTGCCCGCCTTAACCTCCCAAAGTGAGTAAAAATATTTTTAGATATACAAAACCCAAAAGAACTTATCACCAGCAGAACCACACTGTAAAAAATGTTAAAGTCTTTCTGAAAGAAGAAAAATTATACCAGATGGAAATATGTATCTACACAAGGGAATGAAGAACACCAAAAATGGTAACTAAGAGGGTACCTATGTAGTTTTTTAAATTATCTTTTTATCTTTAAAAGATCATGAACTGGCTGGATGTGGTGGCTCACACTTGTAATCTCAGCACTTTGGGAGACCAAGGAGGGAGGATTGCTTGAGGACAGGAAATTGAGGCTGCAGTGAGCTATAATTGCACCATTGCACTACAGCCTGGGTGATAAAGACCCTGTCTCTAAAAAATAATAATAAAAGATAATTAACTGTTTAACCAAAAGTGAGTCACAGAAGGTCAGAGGAAGAAGGAATGTACAATCTCATTTGCAATCTGAATTACTTACTGAATTCATATAATTGGTGGGAGGGCCAGGAATATAAATCAAGTTCTCTGATGCAACCTAACCAAATGATAACAGATATACTAGTCCCCGGTTATCTGTGGTTTTACTTTTCAAAGTTTCAGTTATCTGTGGGGGACTACAGTCCAAAAATACTGAATGGAAAATTCCAGAAGTAAATAATCCATAGGCTTTAAAAAAATAATTTATAAGTTTTAAATTGCATGCCATTCTGAGTAGCATGATAAACTCTCACACTGTCCTGCTCTGTACTGCCCTGGACATGACTCACTCCTTTGTCCAGTGCATCCACGCTGCCTGCATGTATTACCCACCTATTGGGCACTTCGTAATCATCTTGGTTATCAGATCAACAGATCACAAGAAGAAAGGTAGGTACAGTATAAGATGTTTTGAGAGAGATACAGAGAGGGAAACCACATTCAGATAACTTTTATTAAATTGTAGTTGTTCTACAGAACAGAGCCCTCAGAAATAACGCCGCATATCTACAACTATCTGATCTTTGACAAACCTGAGAAAAACAAGCAATGGGGAAAGGATTCTCTATTTAATAAATGGTGCTGGGAAAACTGGCTAGCCATATGTAGAAAGCTGAAACTGGATCCCTTCCTTACACCTTATACAAAAATTAATTCAAGATGGATTAAAGACTTAAATGTTAGACCTAAAACCATAAAAACCCTAGAAGAAAACCTAGGCATTACCATTCAGGACATAGGCATGGGCAAGGACTTCATGTCTAAAACACCAAAAGCAGTGGCAACAAAAGCCAAAATTGACAAATGGGATCTAATTAAACTAAAGAGCTTCTGCACAGCAAAAAAAACTACCATCAGAGTGAAAAGGCAACCTACAAAATGGGAGAAAATTTTCGCAACCTACTCATCTGACAAAGGGCTAATATCCAGAATCTACGATGAACTCAAACAAATTTACAAGAAAAAAACAACCCCATCAAAAAGTGGGCCAAGGACATGAACGGACACTTCTCAAAAGAAGACATTTATGCAGCCAAAAAACACATGAAAAAATGCTCACCATCACTGGCCATCAGAGAAATGCAAATCAAAACCACAATGAGATACCATCTCACACCAGTTAGAATGGTGATCATTAAAAAGCCAAGAAACAACAGGTGCTGGAGAGGATGTGGAGAAATAGGAACACTTTTACACTGTTGGTGGGAGTGTAAACTAGTTCAACCATTGTGGAAGTCAGTGTGGCGATTCCTCAAGGATCTAGAACTAGAAATACCATTTGACCCAGCCATCCCATTACTGGATATATACCCAAAGGACTATAAATCATGCTGCTATAAAGACACATGCACACGTATGTTTATTGTGGCACTATTCACAATAGCAAAGACTTGGTACCAACCCAAATGTCCAACAATTATAGACTGGATTAAGAAAATGTGGCACATATACATCATGGGATACTATGCAGCCATAAAAAAGGATGAGTTCATGTCCTTTGTAGGGACATGGATGAAATTGGAAATCACCATTCTCAGCAAACTATCGCAAGGACAAAAAACCAAACACCGCATGTTCTCACTCATAGGTGGGAATTGAACAATGAGAACACATGGACACAGGAAGGGGAAAATCACTCTCTGGGGACTGTTGTGGGGTGGGGGGAGCGAGGAGGGATAGCATTGGGAGATATACCTAATGCTAAATGACGAGTTAATGGGTGCAGCACACCAGCATGGCACATGTATACATATGTAACTAACCTGCACATTGTGCACATGTACCCTAAAACTTAAAGTATAATAATAATAAAAAAAACCTAAAAAAATTGTAGTTGTTCTATTTTATTAGTTATTGCTTTTAATCTCTTACTCTAATTTATAAATTAAACTTTATCATAGGTATGTATTATAGGAAAAAGCATAGTATATAGAGGGTACTGTTACTATCCATGGTTTCAGGCACCCACTGGGGTTCTTAGGGTATATCCCCCACACATAAGGGGGGACTACTGTACAAAGCTCCTTTCTAACAGACAGGGAACAAAGTCACTCTTTTTCTGGTTTCCAGGTCAAATACTTTTCTCCCTCTCCAGCCCTTCCTCCAGCCATTCCTTGCTCTCATACACCCTCATAATATTTGCACAGTAATTTATGGTCTGCCAACCCTTCCGGGTCTGTTACCTCACTTGATCCTAAGAACAACTCCGAGTTCATAGGTCAGTTATTTGCATCTTTCTGATTTTATAGATGCAAAAACTGAAGCTCAGATCCTAGTTAAATTTCCCAGGGTCAGAGTGTAATCGCTGGGTGAAGACAGGAATTGAATTTCAACCTTCTGATGCCAAACTTTGTGTTCATTCCACCATCCCAGTGTTGCCTCTCTCGTGTGCCTGGAATTCCACATTATTTGGCAACACTCATCTTGTTTCTAAATTATTTTCTCATAACCAAAGTCATGACATTTACAGAAAAAGCAACCTCAGAAAAGCAAAGGTACAACTTTTTCTTTCAGTCAACTCTTGGGCTTATTTATAACACATTCCTTCTTTGAAAGCAGGAGTTCTGAAAATAGCACATCTATCCTTTGCCTATTAAGGGATAGTGGAACAATTAGGCTCAGAACAAAGCTAAGTCCACGATAACTGTGAACAAATTAGCCACAGACTGAAAAACAGCGTGAGTCACCAGAGGGAATAAAATGTACAACTTATCAGTGAAAGATCTCTTGGTTTCCTATTGCCAGAAACTTTAAATGTAAGTGTAGTATGTGTACTGGTATATTCCCAATTATATTGAAAATGATCTATTAGCAGTATAAAATTTGTGGAGGGGAGAGAAATTATTTCATTCAGAAAACATTTAATTCCCTCCCCCTCAGCTTTTTGTGGGTCACTGTGCCAAATATAGATGGGAAAAGAGAGTAAGAGGTCCTCATCTCCAACTTGTTCCTTAGCAGGGACACAGGACACACGAGCTGTAGTGGACTTGCATCCTAGGTACTGAAAAGGATTTTATTTCTTTTTTGATTATGAAGCTTAGTTTGGCTGGATATGAAATTCTTGGTTGGAATTTTTAAGAATGCTGAATATAGGTCCCCAATCTCTTCTGGCTTGTAGGGTTTCTGCTGAAAGATCTGCTGTTAACCTGATGTAGCTGACCTGCCCCTTCTCTCTAGCTGCTTTTAATATTTTTTCTTTCACATTGACCTTGTATTTTTAGTAGAGACAGGGTTTTACCATATTGTCCAGGCAGGTCTCGAACTCCTGGCCTCAAGCAATCCACCCGCCTTGGCCTCCCAAAGTGCTGGGATTACATGCATGAGCCACTGTATCCAGCCTGAGTTCTGAAATTGAATCAGTAATAATAATACTCCTACCAACTGGAAAAGGTCCCAAACAGATTCACAGCCAAATTCTACCAGACATATAAAGAGCTGGTACCAATCCTACAGAAACTATTCCAAAAACTTGAGGAGAATTCCTCCCTAACTCATCCTATGAGGCCAGCATCATTCTCATACCAAAACCTGGCAGAGACACAACAAAAAAAAAGAAAACTTCAGGCCAATATCCCTGAAGAACATAAATAAGGAGACCTGAAAATGTGGAATCGACTTTGGAACTGGGTAATAGGCAACAGTGTGTGCAGGGGAACTGCCTTTTATGAACCAAAACCCAGCAACACATCAAAAAGCCAACCCACTGTGATCAAGTGGGCTTTATTCCTAGGATCCAAGGTTGGTTCAATATATGGAAATCAATGCATGTAATTCATCACATAAATAGAACTAAAAACAAAACCACATGATCATCTCGATAGACACAGAAAATGCTTTCAATAAAATTCAACATCCCTTCATGGCAAAAACCCTTAAAAAACTATGAGGCATCAAAGGAACGTAACCTCAAAACAATAAGAATTATCTATGACAAATCCACAGCCAACATTACACTGAATTGGCAAAAGCTGGAAGCATTCTGCTTGAGAACTGGAACAAGACAAGGATGCCCACTCTCCCCACTCCTATTCAACACAGTACTGGAAGTCCTAGTGAGAACAATCAGGCAAGCGAAAAAAATAAAAAGCATCCAAATAGGAAGAGAGGAAGTCAAAATATCTCTTTTCACAGAAAATGTGATTCTAAACTTAGAAAACCCCATAGTCTCTGCCTCAAAGCTCCTAGATATAAACTTCAGCAGTCTCAGGATATAAAATCAATACACAAAAATCAGTAGCATTTCTATACAACAATAATACCCAAGCTGAGAGTCAAATCAAGAATGCAATCCCATTCACAATAGCCACAAAAGACTTAAGTAGCTAGGAATACAGCTAACCAGGAAGGTGAAAGATCTCTATAATGAGAATTACAAAACACTGCTGACAGAAATCAGAGACGACATAAACAAATGGAAAAAGATTCCATGCTCACAGATAGGAAGAATCAATATTGTTAAAATGGCCATACTGCCCAAAGCAGTTTACAGATTCAATGCTATTCCTATTAAACTACCAATGGCATTTTCACAGAATTAGAAAAAACTATTTCAAAATTCATATGGAACCAAAAAAAGCCTGAATAGCCAAGGCAATCCTAAGCAGAAAGAACAAAGCTGAAGGCATCACATTATCCAACTTCAAACTATACTACAAGACTACAGTAATCAAAACAGCATGGTACTGGTACAAAAACAGACAGACCAATGGAACCAAATACAGAACCCAGAAATAAAGCCATACAAACTACAGCCATCTGATCTTCAATAAAGTTGACAAAAATAAGTAATGGGGAAAGGACTATTCAATAAATGGTGCTGGGATAACTGGTTAGCCAAATGCAGATTAGAACTAGACACCTTCACCATATATAAAAATAACTTAAGATGGATTAAAGACTTCTATTAGTCTGTTCTTGCACTGCTATAAAGAAATAGCTGAGACTGAATAATTTATAAAGAACAGAGGTTTAACTGGCTCACTCCACAGGCTGTACAGGAAGCATGGCAGCATCAGCTTCTGGGGAGGCATCAGGGAGCTTTCAGTCGTGGCAGAAGGCAAAGGGGGAGCCAAGCATCTTACATTGCAGGAGCGGGAGCAAGAGAGAGAAGGGGGAGGTGCTACACACACAGATCTCGCAATAACTCACTATCACGAGAACAGCAGCAAGAAGGATGATGTTAAACCACGAGAAACCACCCCCATGATCCAATCACCTCCCACCAGGCACCACCTCCAATGCTGGGGATTACAATTCAACATAAGATTCGGATGGGGACACAAATCCAAACCCATATCAAGACTTACATGTAAAACCTAACTGAAAAAACAAAACAAACAAAACCCCTAGAAGGACACCTAAGAAATACCATTCTGGATGTAGGCCCTGGCAAAGATTTCATGAGGAAGACACCAAAAGCAACTGCAACAAAAACAAAAATTGACAAATGGGACCTAATTAAACTAAAGAGCTTCTCTGCTCTGCTAAAGAAACTATCAACAGAGCAACCAGACAACCTACAGAATGGAAGAAAATATTTGCAAACTATGGATATGACAAAGGTCTAATATTCAGAATCTATAAGGAACTTAAGCAAAAAACAAAACAACAACAACAACAACAACATTAAAAGTGGGCAAAGGAGGCTGGGTGTAGTGGCTCACAGCTGTAATCTCAGCACTTTGGGAGGCTGAGGAAGGTGGAACACTTGAGGTCAGGAGTTCGAGACCAGCCTAGCTAACATGGTGAAACCCCATCTCTACTAAAAATACGAAAATTAGCCGGGTGTGGTGGCACACACCTGTAGTCCCAGCTACACAGGAGGCTGAGTCATGAGAATCGCTTGAACCCAGGAGGTGGAGGTTGCAGAGAGCCAAGATCGTGCCACTGCACTCCAGCCTAGGTGACAGAGCGAGGACCCTGTCTCAAAAAAAAAAAAAAAAAATTGGTAAAGGACATGAACAGACACTTCTCAAAAGACATACACATGGCCAATAAGTAAATGAAAAAATGCTCAACATCACTAACCATTAGAGAAATGCTAATAATCAGAGAAATCCATCTCACCCCAGTCAGAACAGCTATGATTAAAAAGTAAAAAGAAACATATGCTGGCAAGGTTGCAGAGAAAAGGGAACACTTACACACTGTTGGTGGGAATGCAAATTAGTTCCATCTCTGTGTAAAGCAGCATAAGGGATTTCTCAAACTTAAAACATTCTACCATTCAACCCAGCAATCCTATTATCAGGTATATACCTAAAGGAATATAAATTATTCTCCCAAAAAGACACATGTACACATATGTTCATCACAGCACTATTCACAATAGCAAAAGCATGGAATCAACCTAAATACCCATCAACAGTGGACTGGATAATGAAAATGTGGTACATATATATTATGGAATACTACAGTCATAAAAAAGAACAAGATCATGTCCTCTGCAGGAGCATGGATGGAGCTGGAGGCCATTATCCTAGGCAAATTAATGCAAGAACAGAAATCCAAATACTCTCACTTATAAGTGGGAGCTAAACATTAAGTACACATGGACACAAAGAAGGGAGTAATAGATACCAGGGCCTACCTGAGAGTAGAGGGTGAGGATCAAAAAACTAGCTATCAGGTACTATGCTCACAACCTGGATGACAAAACACTGACAAAACCCCTGCAACACAATTTACCCATGTTACAAACCTGCACATGTACCCTCTGAACCTAAGAAGTTGGAAAGAAAAAAAATAAGACATAAAAAAAAGATTGCTACAGCAATCACTTTTCAAACCACCGGTATTAATTTCTGTCCTGTGATTCAAGAAATATCTTCACCACAAATTTAGAGTTAATGGATTAAGAAAATGATTTCTAATTAACTGTGCATCATTGTGCAGTTGTCCCTTGGTATCTATGGGGGACTGGTTGCAGGTTCTCCCTCCAGATACCCAAATCCACAGTTGCTCAAGTCCCTTATAATAAAATGGTATAGTATTTGCATATGACCCATGCATATCCTCCCATATTTTTAAAATGATCTCTAGATTACTTATAATATCTAATATAATGTGAATGCTACATAAATTGTTATAGTGTATTTTTTAGAGAACAACGACAAGAATAAAAAGTCTGTACATGTTCAGTACAGATCCAACTATCCATTTTTCCCCCCAAATATTTTCAATCCACAGTCGATTAACTCCATGGATATAGAACCCATGGATACAGAACCCATGGATACGAAGGGCCAACTGTATTCTCAAAGTTAAAAAAAAAATAAACACTGGCACTCTGAATACACTGTAATGGAAAATGTCAGGGTTTATCTTAAAAAAAAGTAACGGATTAAAAACAATGACAACCCTAAGTATTTAAAGAGATTTATTAAATCATCTTATCACAAAGATGGAAACATATACAAACTAGAAACATGCAACCATCATCTTCCACAGTCAAGTCACAATGTCAAATATTTTTCTTGCCTCTGCAGATGAAAAGTTCAGATCTTATACCCAACTACTTACTCACCCCGAATATTTAAGTCAGTCTTCCTGAAAGTACTCAGGGTAGCAAGTAACAAAATGCAAACGATTATATAAAGAAAGTGCAGTTAAAAAGGAAACTATGTGGCAAGTACCCTCTTTCCCTTCCCACCCCCCAATTAAAGGCAAACAATGGCACTTTGCTCTTGCTTAACCTAGATTGTCTTCAAAAACTATTAAAATGTAAAAGACTTAACAAAAAAACAAAAAGACGTTTAACAGATGTCAAAAAGCTCCTTAGTGTTTGAAAATAAATGCTTAAACAAAAGACAACATATTTTATATCAAACAAGTTTGAAGAGCCCTGAATTGCAGCATTCTGTAACATAAACAAACAAAAAGCTGGTATAGGATTTATTGTCAAAGGCAGAATTTCTTCAGGCAGGTAAGTAAGGAGGTGGTGGTTCTTTTTCAGGCATTTTCACGGCCATTTCATAGGTTGGCAAAACGTACTAAAGAGAGAAAAAAAATTGTATCAGATTTAATTCTCCTTTAAAATCCTTTGTGAGATAATTCAGCTTTCAGACTTTATGCCCTAAATAGGGTTATACAAAACCATAAAGAAGAGCTGAAGAAACTGTTAGCTAAAATGTTCCCAAGTAGATGCCTCAATAACCTGGAATTTTACCAAGATTGCTAGCGAAGGGGAGGGTGGAGAGAGGGAGGTGGGGAGAGAGAGTCCTGCTTCTGGACAAGGATTCCTAGACAGGCAGGCAGTGGGTGCCATTGCTCTGCCCTCATTCCAGTGTGACCGATGAAGTGCCAGTGCCAATTACACTTCAGGTGTTGAGGAGTTGGGTTAAACCATGCAATAGGAAACACCCAATAAGACGCTAGCTCCTGGATCCTGACTTTCATCAGAATCAGTTTGTAGTCAGAAGATCATGAACTTATATCATGTCTTCGAGGGTAACAGGCACACCTATGCAGTGGAGGAGTGACATTCTAATCGAAGTGACTCCAAGTCTGAAAGCCTGGCCCTAGATGGGCCACATATATTTTATATGCTGAAAACCTGGGAAGGTAGCACAGCAGCAATTAGAGGGCTGTGAAAGGTAGGCTTCCCCAAAAGACCCATGAAACCACTGTATTCATCTCCCCAGACAGGTCAGCTCCCCCGTTGGATCATATGGATGTTTTCTGAAAACAACACAAGTTTCAGTCAATGGAACTCCCCATCCTTAGAAGCCCCAGGCTACATGGGCCTAACACAGCTGTTTCCTGTCATCTCCCCTACAAACATGACACTAATGAGGACCTCTAATGAGTAAATCTAACAGCCAAACTGGATGAGACAAGCGACCCAGGTACTCAGGATTCCAAGTGGAAAATGTTGAATCCTGTGGATTTTAAGCTGTTCATAAAAGTACCCAGGGTTCATGCCCAAACCATAGGTTACAGCATGAAAGAGAAAGTCAAGCTCCAGGTTCTTCTCCTGGAACAGTCAATAGTGACTGGTGACCTTTTACTCTATCCAACAGTAGCTAACCTGAGGAGGTGCTTCAAAGGCAGGGTACACAGCAATCTCCGGCACGTTTCGGTTGTTGATGTATTTATAGCAGTTCCAAACACAGTTAATTAGATAAGCCTGGAAGAATAAAAACAAAGTTGACATCTGCTAGAAACTCAACAGACTACCTGCTCTAAAATGCCAGTGACTTAGAATGCTTTCCCCACACATCCTCTGTGTAGAAGGGAGCTGACCTCTGTGTGGACCCAGCACAGGCCAGGCCCTTTCCCTACTTGCTCTCATTTAAGTGTCATGAGTTTCATCGCCAACATTTCAGAGAGAAACCAGAGATGGAGCTTCAATTCAGGTCAACCCACTGTGCTGCAGAAGAAATTCTGGGTTTGTGAACCTTGGGAATTTTAACAGATTTTCAATACAAATCATGAACCCCTTTTCAAAAACATAAAAAGTAGGTCCTTTCACTCAGAGAAGGATCCTGACAGTTACAACCATTCCTTGGAAACACAACAGAAACCATTCCCTAGAAGCTATCTCTGCTCATGTGCCAGAATAAACACTGTCCCCACAAATCCTCAATCTCCTGTGACTTGTAAGGTGAAAGGCAGCAAAAAGGTTTAGATTCACAGTGTCAATCTCAGTCACCCCTAAAGATTTAGTCAGCAACGTACCTTAAAAATGATGAATAAGGCAAAGAACACAAGAACAATGAACAGGAGGCAGCTGGAGTCCAAGGCCAGGAGGTCATCTTTGTAGGGAAAATCAGGCTATTAAAGAAACACACACACATTTACAAGTCAGCCATCGCACTAGCACTTGCTGATAACCTGAAGAGCATCTGAAGAATACAAAGGCACCAAAGTCAAAAGTGATATTTAATAAAAATGTATAAGCAGAATTTAATTCAAAGTGCTTTTAAATTTTAAGCCTTATCACCATTAATGCATGCTAACAATCACTTAGAGTACATTTGATAACCCACAATGCTCCAAAAAGTCTAAATTTAGCTCGTTTTCTCTTTACTTTTCACTATTTTCCATCTTTCTGGCCTTTGGAAAAACACTATCGCCTATATGGCACTGGAGATCAGTCCCTGTGTCACTTGCATCATTAACTCAGGAGATGCTCAGTTCTGTGTAAGTTCTACAGATAAACTGGGCCATTTTAATGCTACAAGGGGAAAATTATTTTTCTAAATGTCAATCGTTTGTCTCAACTCTCATCAGACAGGGGCAAAAATACACCCACTGGTTACAATGTCAGGCAAGACATAAGTTTTACTGCAGACATACTCTGTTCTACTGAAAAGCATCAGCTATATTCATTTAAATACTTAATCAGCCCTGACTGTGTACAAGGCAATGAGCTAAGTTCAGGGAGAAAGGTGTTATAAAAGAAGAATTTCAGATTTAAAAACTAACCAACAGAGGAAATACCTTCCAGTCTGAGGCACTAAGTGAACAAAACAGAGGAGAGAAAACACCAGGGTCTCTAAAAGGAATAATAAATTTTTATCTTCTTTTCTATAAAGCTGATTTAATTTTTTTAAGTTATGCTTGTTTTTAATGGAAATGTCAACAAGAAGGCCTAATTACATTTTCATTTAAAAAGCAACATAAACAGAAATCCCAAAGGACTGAAAAAAATAGAAAAAAAAAATTTTAAGAACACACTACTCCCCAAACCCCAGCCAGGTTGTCTCCTTGGGAAAAAAGCTGTTTTTTTGATCTTCATCTATAAACAAAAAGAAAAACACAGAAGGTGGAGCTCATGAGGGAATGCTATGCTAAGGGTTTTACTCAGAAGGCAGGGAGGCACCACTTGAAATTTCTCCCCCGGAGATGACATGAGCAGAGAGCCACACAGAAGCCGCTGACCGTGGCTGACCAGGCCAACAGCCCTGCCCCTGGCCACCTTTCTCCAGGCTTCCCCACCCTCCCTCTGTGTGCCAGCCACCATGGCCAGCTTCTAGTGCCCTCACTATGCTGCTTCTTGCCTCAAGGTCTCTCTTTTATCTGGAACATTGTCTTCTATACTTTCTCTATCTTAATTCCTGTTCAAACTCCTGAGTACAATTCAAATCTCACTTCCCAGCCCAGGTTTAGTACCCATGTGATATCCACTCCCACAGTAACCTACAATGGTGTATCAGTTAACTGTCAACTTCCTGATTCCTTCACCAGGAAGTAAGCTCCACTGATGCATCTCTATGACCTAGCAGAGTGCCTTGCACATAAGAGCAACCAGCGAATGTTTTCTGAATAAATGAATGATGAATTTGGTGGTGTGGAAAATGGGCTAGGCAGGAAATCTGGTAGTGGGAAGAAAAGTTCTGAAAGACAGCACTTTGGAAATGAACTGAGGATACTCCTGCCAATTTTCATCTACCTAGATCCCATATCTCCTTCTGACCACCTCCACGACGCCCTCCTTGGCCACCCAGCCCAGAGTTTTCCCTGCCCCCCTCCATATGACATTAATCGAAGTTCCTTATTTGCTGCTGCTGTGACAGCTCCCGCTTGTTATCACAGGTAACATCTTCATGTATCTTGACTCCCCAAATATTACAGTTTGCTCGCTAAACTGTAATATTCGCAGTTATCTTTATATCCACACCATTCACCAACAGTGCCTAGCAAAGGGCTAAAAACATAGTAGGCACTGGAATACTTGCTACAGATGTCTGTAAAGACAATAAGCTAGTCACTTAAAGAGTGCCATACACAGTCAAATTACTGTACCTTTGGATGCTCAAAAACAAAAGCTGAACTACTAGTTCCATAATATCCATTTCTAGGAACTCTTAATACTGCATTATCCAAATGGATGGTAAGAAATTACTCTACTTTCATCTTGCCAGTTTTGTCACAGTAGCTAAGAGAGCAGAAATAATTATTTTAAGACACTTTCAAAAGCAAGCGGAGTAGTTAAAAATAATACCTAAGGCTGATTCAGAATTTAAATGTAAACATTTTACTCAAAATGAAAAAAAAATAAGTTTAATGAGCATACACACTTACTAGTTGATCCAGATATTCTTTGATTCTTGGCAAATAGGTGAGAGAACTAATAGCAACCAGGCAACTGAGGACGAAGTCAAAAAGTCGGTAACAGAAGAATGGAATCAGCCAACCCACTTGATACTGGAGAAAAAATAACAACCATAACATTGTATCACATATAGGAAATTACTAAGCTCCCCTAAGGTCAAACTCTAAAAGATGAAAATACAGTATACTTACAGAAATTGCTCCATAAACCAGCATTGAACTGATTATAAACATAAGAACAGAGACGGCAAAAAGAACACAGGCATTATCTAAGAAAACAAAAACAAAAATCTAATTAAGCTACTTACACAACAAAAAGAACAAAACTTCACTTAAAGCTAGCTTTAAAATATTAAATTTAAATATTTTCAAAATTGGCTATAAAAAGATCTAAGGCCAAGAGGGTAAAAAAAAAAAAAAAAAATCAAAGTCTCAGCATGAAGTAAGGAACCTTGAGACATTCACACAAAGCACTTATTTGTTAAATCGCTCCAACGACTCACTGACATGGGTGTAGGATGGCACATGAACCACATTCTCTGCTAGAGAAACAGGTCCCTGTGCCCTTATGAGCCCAGGAATCTGAAGATGTGCAAACAGATCATTATAATCCAATGTGTCAAGTGCTACAACAGAGGCAGAAACAATTTGCTTTGCCTGAAGCATCAGGAAAAAATATGAAGAAATGACACAAGATGGGTCTTATGAGTAGGGTTTAGCTGGAAGGAATGGCTGGCAATTGCTTAAAAGACAAGTGTATTAAACTCAGAATGCTACATACATTACCCTTTGCTCTAGATAAATATAACCTGAAATTCAAATTTCGCCATTAACCTCACTTCCCCACCCAACCTCCCAAACACCAAAATTCATTGCTTCCTGCACCCTGGTATCTATGTTAACACACACTACTTTCTTCTTCGTTTCTCAACTCTTCCTCAGGTTGTTCCAACTCTCCATTAATCCATGTTCACTAATTTTTTCACAAAACAGCCAAGTAATCTCAAGCAATTCTAAACCGTGCCTGACTTACTGAATTTCTTAGCACAAATCTGTAGTTGATTCTGTGACTCTGGACAGTTTTTTCTTTCTTTTCCTGAGACAGAGTCTTGCTCTGTCGCCCAGGCTAGAGTGCAGTGGCGCGATCTCGGCTCACTGCAACCTCAACCTCCCAGGTTCATGTGATTCTCTTGCCTCAGCCTCCCAAGTAGCTGGAATTATAGGCAAGCACCACCACATCCAGCTAATTTCTGTATTTCTAGTAGAGACGAGGTTTCACCATGTTGGCCAGGCTGGTCTAAACTCCCAACATCAGGTGATCCGTCTGGGCAGAGATTAAGAAACTGGGGGGGATGGGCACGGCAACCCACACCTGTAATCTCAGTACTCTGAGAGACTAAGGTGGGAAAATTACTTGAGGCCAGGAGTTCAAGACCAACCTGGGCAATATAGCAAGACCCTGTATGCACAAAAGATGTTTTAAAAATGAAAAAAGAAAAAAAATACTGAGGGCACTAATAATGATGAATGACTAGAACAACTGCTGAATATTCCCTATTGGGTAAATGTATATACAACTTTTTTTTTTTCTTTGAGACAATCTCACTGTCACCCAGGCTGGAGTGCAGTGGCACAATCTCAGCTCACTGCAACCTCTGCCTCCCAGGTTCATGAGATTCTTTTGCCTCAGCCTCCAGAGTAGCTAGGATTGCAGGCCTGCGCCACCAAGCCCAGCTAATTTTTGTATTTTTAATAGAGACAGGATTTCACCATGTTAGCCAGGCTAGTCTCAAACTCCTGACCTCAAGTGATTCACCTGCCTCGGCCTCCCAAAGTGATGGGATTACAGGCATGAGCCACCATGCACAGCATGTATATATAATTTATCACTGGGCAGTAAAACCTCATCAATATTTGGCACTAAACTAGGAATAGTCCTCTTTACTTTTTTCTTAGAGGATACAGGATTGATAAATGTTAAGAATTTAAAGGACTTCCCTGCTACAACATGCAAACTTCCACTTAGAAGAATTCAGGTAAAAACAAAATATGAAATTAAACAGGTATTATCAAACTTGAAAGCAAAATTTGTAATTCAAATAATCGGCTTTCAAGAGTCTGCTATGGGCTGGGCACAGTGGCTCATGCCTGTAATCTCAGCACTTTGGGAGGCTGAAGTGGGAGGGTCCCTTGAAGCCGGGAGCTCAAGACCAGCCTGGTAAAGACAGGGAGACCCGATCTCCACAAAAATTTAGCTACTCAGGCAGCTGAGGTGGGAGGATCACTTGAGCTCAGGAATTCTGGGTTACAGTGAGCTATTACTGTACCACTGCACTCCAGTTGGGACAACAAAGTAAGACCTTTTCTCTAAAAAACTTTTTTTAAACAAATAAATAATATAAATGTGATTTTAAAAATGAAGGGCGCTGGCTGGGCGCTGTGGCACGCCTGTAATCCCAGCACTTTGGGAGGCTGAGGCGGGTGGATCACCTAAGGTCGGGAGTTCGAGACCAACCTGACCAACATGGAGTAACTCTAAAAATACAAAAAATTAGCCGGGTGTGGTGGTGTGTGCCTGTAATCCCAGCTACTCAGGAGGCTGAGGCAGGAGAATCGCTTGAACCCAGGAGGCAGAGGTTGCCCTGAGCCGAGATCGCACCACTGCACTCCAGCCTGGGCAACAAGCGCAAAACTCTGTCTCAAAAAAAAAGAAAGGCATTTATCCCATTCATAAGGGTAGAGCCCTCATGGCCTAATCACCACCCAAGGGTCCTACCTCTTAATATCATCACCTTGGAGGTTAAGCTCCAGCATGTGAATTTTGGAGGGACACATATATTGTAACCATAGCAACTTCTCCTTTCTACTAGTAGCTACATTAAAAAAAAAGTCTTATGAAGCCTGCATGCTTATTTTGATTTCAAGGTACATTTTACACATTTCTCAAAAACTTAATAGTCCATTACATTTTCTGGCTAGAAATGCTCTATTGTAATCCTCACTGAATCTCTCTGAAAAACCCATCAAAATACTTTCCTGCCTCAGCAAGAATGACTTAAATATAATTTAACTTGTTACCCTTATTATGTAACCATTTTAACTTTCTGAAATGTAACTTAAGCATAATCTAATCAATCCCCTAAATAACCAGTGTGTGTGGAGACAGACAGACATGGGCCAACAACATTTTGGTCAACAATGGACTGCATATATCATGAGGGTTCCATAACACTGTAATAGTGTATTTACAGTATTACTATATTTTTCCATCTTTAGATACACACCTATTTGCCACTGTATGATAACTGCCTACAGTATTCGGTACAGTAACCTGCTGTACAGGTTTTAGCCTAGGAGTCTCTACCACATCGCCTAGGTGTATAGTAGGCTACGCTATCTAGGTTTGTGTAAGTACACCCTATGATGTTCACACAACAATATCACCCAGTGACATTTCTCAGAATGTGTCCCCATCATTAAACAACACAGGACTGTATATAAAAATTAGCAGGGGAGATTTTTTTGTTTTTCTATTAAACACATACCAGCCATTCTCTCAGACGAATAGTAATTACCGATGACTTCATACTGAATGTTGACAGCTGGCATGGAGTTTGGATGAGTCACTTCCACAGTCAGCAAAATTGCCATCAATAGGTTTACTACCTGGAAAAGATAACATTCTATCAGTTACATTAATTACCATCACGACGCAATCTTAGCACAATCTCTAGATGTCCTCTCATATTTAAGATTGTCTTACTTGAAGTAACAAAGATATAAAATAGTGGGAGACTACCTGTGAGATAAAACAATACGCAATTACCACTATGAGAATAATTTAAAAATAAATATTTTATAAAGTATAAGTAATATTAACCATTTGAGAGATAAGATGCTTAACCAATACACCAGAAAAAAATTAAAACTAAAGAATCATTACAAATGGTTCATGTTCGAAGCTACCTATTTATTCATATACCAATCTCAGAATTTCTGGATTTGAAGAAGTTACTGTTCATCTGTTATATTTATTCATCAGATGCCCGAAACCCCTCCACAGCATCTCTCATCAGGTGACAGAGAACTCACTATTTCCTCTAGAGCTAGACTCAAATGCTTAAGAGACTTACCAAGATACTGAAAGTCACTTATCTACTAGTCTTACTTTTGTGTGTGTGTGTGTATGTGTATGTGTGCGTGTGTGTGATATGGAGTCTCACTCTATTGCCCAGGGTGGAGTGCAGTGGTGCAATCTCAGCTCACTGAAGCCTCCCCTTCCTAGGCTCATGTGATCCTCCCACCTCAGCCACCTGGTAGCTGGGATTACAGGTGCCCACGACCATACGCGGGTGATTTTTGTATTTTTAGTAGAGACGGGGTTTCACTATGTTGGCCAGGCTGGTCTCTAATTCCTGACCTCAAGTGATACACCCAGCCCTAGCCTCCCAAAGTGTTGGTATTACAGGCGTGAGCCACCACGCCCGGCCTTAAATCTACCTTTTGAGATAATGTGCTCTCCCTTCTAAATAAGTGCTCCAATACCTGAAAACAGCCTCCAAATACTGTGTTCTCTAGAATAGACATGCAGATCTTTAAGCCATTCCTCTGACTAGCATGTTTCCTAGCTACCTATTTCCCTTTTGTCTTCCTCTTTACACATGCTCCAGTTTGATGGACATATATTAAAATGAGGTAAAGTCACCCTGGTCAGAACATAATGGGATCTCAGTTCTCATATTCTGGCTAACGAATTTCAATTAATGCAACCTGAAGTTGTACTGAGGTTTTTTGTTTTTGTTAGAAACAAGGTCTCACCATATTGCCTAGGCTGGTCTTGAACTCTTGGCCTCAAGTGATCCTCCTGCTTTAGCCTCCCAACATGCTGTGATTACAGGCATGAGCCACCGCACCCAGCCTGCATTGGCTTTACAAATTTTCTGAATATCACATGAGAGTAACTCCCTAAAACACCAAGTTCTTTTTCACACTTGATTGTGCTAAGCTCCCACCTGTACAGTTGGATTCAGAGGCCCAAGCATAGGCCTTAATATACCTGTAATTGAGTTTCATCTTATTACATTCTTGCCTATGAAGATTTTCTGGATGTGGATTCTGACACACTACAGATTTACTGTCTCAACTTCCTGAATTTAGGATCAGCATGTAATCAGTATTTCCATCTAAGTTACTAACAAAAGAGAACAGAGGTGAGGACAAAGCTGCCAGAGGCTGCCCCTTCCCATTAACTAGCAACTTCTGAATAAAATTGTTTAGCTCTTTAGAGGAACAGCCTGCTGAAATCCCATTATAATATCTGAATTTTCCTAGTCTCCCAGGGTTGTAAATCCATTTTAAAAGGAAATGAGTTGTGCCTGTAGTTGTTGGCCAATCCCTGTGGTATCCCAGGAGGCTTCACTGCATTTAAGTACTCAGAAAGAGTATTGTTAACGACTCAAGACAGAAATCTCACGTAGGATTGGAGTTAGGCTTCCTTATCTAGCATAGTAAAGTTCACAGAATTTGCCCTCCTTCCCTTTGTGAAAATGTGAACATCTGGAATTTTCAAGGGTTAAGTTCCTATCAGTAGTATTTTAATTTATTTAGTTTTTGAGATGGAGTCTCGCTCTGTCGCCCAGGCTGGAGTGCAGTAGCGCAATCTCGGCTCACTGCAGCCTCCACCTCCTGGGTTCAAGCGATTCTCCTGCCTCAGTCCCCGGGGTAGCTGGGACTTTTTTTTTTTTTGAGACCAAGCCTTGCTCTGTCACCCAAGCTGGAGTGCAGTGGCGCAATCTCAGCTCACTGCAGCTTCCACCTCTTGGGTTCAAGCAATTCTCACACCTCAGCCTCCCAAGTAGCTGGGACCTTTTTTTTTTTTTTTTTTTTTGAGACCAAGCCTCGCTCTGTCACCCAGGCTGGAGTGCAGTGGCACGATCTCGGCTTACTGCAGCTTCCACCTCTTGGGTTCAGGCCATTCTCACACCTCAGCCTCCCGAGTAGCTGGGACTACAGGCGTGCACCATTCAAGCCTGGCTAATTTTTGTATTTTTAGTAGAGGTGGGGTTTCGCCACGTTGGCCAGGCTGGTCTCAAACTCCTGACCTCAAGTGATCCACCAGCCTTGGCCTCCCAAAGTGCTGGGATTACAGGTGTGAGCCACTGTGTCGGCCAGCTATCGATAGTATTTTAAACAAACTATTATATACTTCTCTCCTGTTTCACCTTGAATGATAAACACACAGGAAATGCATTTTCCTTTTATCAGCTGAAGTCATTTCACTAACATCCGCTAGATAAGCAGATCAAGTTTTATTTTAGGGTAGGTGATCTAAACAATGCCACAATATGAAATTTGGAATCAACCAATATTTATTGAGGATATGCTTTATGACATGTGTATTTACGTGTATTACTTCACTTATTCCTCACAACAACCCGTGAAGTAAGTATTACCAAAGCCTATGTGTAGATGGGGAAACTTAAGATTCAGTAAAGCTATATAACTTGTGTTAAGCTTGCTGAGCTGACAGATGGGAGAATCAGGACACAAGTCTGGTTTTTAAGACATCCTCCTTCTCAGCACTACGTGATTATTAATAAACATTCCCCAGTAACTCCTATTTTAAGGTCTTTCCCAAAGAAACCATTATCTAAGGCTATAAAATGTTTAGACTTTACTGTCTATGTTCAGCAGCAAGCCTCTTTCCTTGCATTGTTCAGAGGCAAGGCATGATATCTTTCAATTCTTGAGAGGACTTACCAGGAACAATCACTTTTGCAAGGTGGCTCTCCCCAGTTGAAAGCTGATTTTTTTTGTTGCCCACATTTGCTGCAATGGGTTTTGGCCAGCGTGTGTGGTGTATGAGTATGAGCTAATACAACTAGGTGAATTAATTACTGAACTATCAGATATATCTACTAAAACGTTATATGTTCTGTGTATGGAAATCAGTTTGAAATCAATTAGGCAAACTCTTCTTTGCTAAACACAGCATAGTCACAGTGAAAAAGCTCTCTGCGGTACAGAAATTCCTTTGTCAAGAAAAGCATGCAAACCCAATTACTAAATGAAGGGAATGACATGCCAAAAACATTTAGGAGTTCTATTTTCCCTTCTTAAATATTTTTATTACATGAAGGATTTCTAAAAATCTCACACCTATAGTCCCAGCTACTTGGGAGGCTGAGGTGGGAAGGATCGCCTGAGCTCTGGAGACCAGCCTAGGCAACAATACTAAGTCTGTCTCTTAAAAAACAAAAGAACTCTTCACTTTTCTTCTCTTCCATGGATAAGTCACACGCTCATCCACTATTATCTTCTTTTAGTACTAGAGACACTTCAAGTTTAATTTCACTGTGGGTCATACCACTAAATATTAAACAAAATAAATCGTAGGGCCAATCAGAAGGACCAAGAAACAGTGAAATAAATTTCAATGCTACTTCATTAAAAGCTTTTTCCAAATCTTCTTTGAGTTAATTATATTCCATTAGATCACATCATTTCATTAGAACCCCAACTTACATCTTAAAGTATTACACTGGAAAACCCATCCTTGTGACTTAAAAAAATTTTTTTTGTAGAGATGGAGTCTCACTATGTTGTCCAGTCTGGTCTTGAACTCCTGGCCTCAAGTGATCCTACTGCATTGGCCTCCTAAAGTGCTAGGATGACAGGCACGAGCCACCGCTCCTGGCATCCTTTGATCTTAAAGATATTCACCAACGAACGCCTACCTTGTGCTCACATGTAAGCCCTGGCAACTTATCTCTGATTAAAGTTGATATTTCTAAATTACATGTTTAGCTTTTCAAAAAATACATAAAATTAACTGTAATCTTACAATACAAAATTTCTCTGAAAATATCCAACTATGTACTAACTATTACAAATATTTATTCCTGATTCACTTTTTCCTTTCACTGTATTCAGGAAAGAAAGTTAATAAAAATGTAATTTAAAAAGAATGATTAAGCTGGGGACAGTGGTGTGTGCCTGTAGTCCCAGCTGGTCAGGTGCCTGAGGTGGGAGGATTGTTTGAGCCCAGTTCAAGGCTGCAGTGTGCTATAATCATGCCATTGCACACCAGCACAGGCAACATAGCAAGACCCCATCTCTTTAAAAAAAAAAAAAAAAGATTAAATTATTAACTTCTAAACTTGGCAATATGGAGAGGTATAGAATGCAGCAATATTTTAGCAGCATGGGCTGCGGATTCACCACTCAATGTGTTAACAGTACTGTAAATTTAATCAGTCAAATCAGGTGGTGTGCATTGTTTTTGAAAGCTTCTACATCTTATGTAAGTGTGTACAATAAGAAATCTGTTAGATTTGACTTGTTACAAAATAACTGTATCAGATCCATGGAAGCACAGGGCCTGAAGAGAGGAATTCTTTGTTTTCTTCTTTCACTGCCACACCTATTCCAGAAGATTCTCTGGAGACTTTAAAAAAAAAATCATTTTTCAGTTTTCCCACAGTAATTTGCCCAGAGCCAGTATCTACTGAGATAATAATTAAAACAGTGTGTCTGGTTTAAGGAGGCATCCAGATAAGGGCTTCCCATGCAGAGAAAGCACCCACAGGAGGGTCAATCTACAGAACTAAGCAAAGCCTGTTATCTGATAAAGATCAAAATTGACTATCTTTAAAACGTTTTTTAGCCATAAAAAAGGATTAGTTCATGTCCTTTGCAGGGACATGGATGAAGCTGGAAACCATCATTCTCAGCAAACTATTACAAGGACAGAAAACCAAACACCGCATGTTCTCACTCATAGGTGGGAACTGAACAATGAGAACACTTGGACACAGGGTGGGGAACATCACACACCTACACCAGGGCCTGTCAGCGGGTGGCGGGCTGGGGGAGGGATAGCATTAGGAGAAATAACTAATGTAAATGATGAGTTGATGGGTGCAGCAAACCAACATGGCACATGTATACCTATGCAACAAACCTGCACGCTGTGGACATGTACCCTAGAACTTACAGTATAATTTAAAAAAAAAAAGTTTTTTGTTGTTGTTTACTGTTACATGCAGATACAACTGAGTATTCACAATATTTTTTGGAGGAGACATTCATTCAACAAATGTGTAATGAACACCTCAAATGTTTTAATTAATAAGTTAGCCATCACACACATTTTATTTTGAGACAGGGTCTCATTCTGTCACCCAGGATGGAGAGTAGTTACTGCGATCTAGGCTCACTGCAACCTCTGCCTCCCCGGCTCAAGTGATCCTCCCACTTCAGCCTCCCCTGTAGCTGGGACTACAGGCATGCACCACCACACCATGCCCCGCTAATATATATATGTATGTATGTGTGTGTGTATATATATTTTTATATGTTTTATATATATTTATATATTATATATCTATATATAAATATATATTATATAAATATATATATAATATAATATATAAATATATATATAATATAATATATATTTTTTTTTGGTAGAGAGGGGGTTTCGTCATGTTGCTCAGGCTGGTCTCGAACTCCTGGGCAATCCACCTGCCTTGGCCTCCCAAAATGCTGGGATTACAGGCGTGAGCCACTGCCCTTATAAAGACATCACCCTCTTCCCTCCAGGAGAACATCTTGCTGTAGAGAGAAAAATAAGAGAAAAGGACAATCCTACCAATGTGTACTGAGTACTATTTAATAAGTACATACAAGAAGGATCCAGAAACTTTTGCAGGTGCACCGTGAGAAAAACAGATCCCCCTGGCTAGGAAGTAAAGAAAGCTTGGCTGGGCATGGTAGCTCACGCCTGTAATCCCAGCACTTTGGGAGGCCAAGGCAGGCAGATCATGAGGTCAGGAGATCGAGACAATCCCGGCCAACACGGTGAAACCCCGTCTCTACTAAAATACAAAAAATTAGCCCGACATGGTGGCGGGTGCCTGTAGTCCCAGCTATTTGGGAGGCTGGGGCAGAGGAATCGCTTGAACCTGGGAGGCGGAGGTTGCAGTGAGCCGAGATCGCACCACTGCACTCCAGCCTGGTGACAGAGCAAGACTCTGTCTCAAAAAAGAAAAAAAAAAAAAAAGGCCGGGCGCGGTGGCTCACGCCTGTAATCCCAGCACTTTGGGAGGCCGAGGCGGGTGGATCATGAGGTCAGGAGATCGAGACCATCCTGGCTAACAAGGTGAAACCCCGTCTCTACTAAAAATACAAAAAATTAGCCGGGCGCGGTGGCGGGCGCCTGTAGTCCCAGCTACTCGGGAGGCTGAGGCAGGAGAATGGCGTGAACCCGGGAAGCGGAGCTTGCAGTGAGCCGAGATTGCGCCACTGCGGTCCGCAGTCCGGCCTGGGCGACAGAGCGAGACTCCGTCTCAAAAAAAAAAAAAAAGGAAAGTTTTACCACGAAAACATGTGAGCTAACCATTAAATTATCTGGACTTGGCAAAATGTTGTTAATGGTTGAAGCTGGGTGATGAATAAATGGGAGGTTTTCGTACTACTTCACTACTTTTGTATGTATGAAAATTTCCTTAATAAAATTTTTAGAAAGTGACTTGGGAGGACAGCAACATTTCAGGGAGAAGGAATAGCATATGCAAAGGCAGAGGCACAAAACTTCCTTAGTTTAAGGAAGGAAACTAACAAATATAAACAAGCTATGCTTACTTGAAGTCAGAGGTGAGGGCTAGAAAGGAATAGAGCTTAAGGAAACCTGTTTTTACTTCTCTCCCAGATACAGAACTTCAAACTGTTTATGGTTGAGACACTCATGAAAAATTAGCCATATATTAAGTCTAAGAGATAAAATTATTACAAATGCTCAAAATGTAGTCTTGTAGTGCACACCATTAATCACAAAGTATATCTACTACAGCACACTTTTAAGTCCATTTTCAATTATTCAATAAACATTTGAGTTTATACCTCATAAGAAACTTGTTTAAAATCAACTGGCTTCAAATTCTTCAATAAATGATAGAGAAAACCATTTCAGGAATGCCAGAATTTAAACATGAGCTCATTCTGAAATTTCCTGTTACTTAACCAGGTATGCTTCTTTTCTAGCTAAAATACGAAAGGCTCACACTTCAGGGCTGGTACCTCCGGTGCATATAATAACTGGTTCTGGCTTTCTCTATGTCCCACAGCACTATTTTGTACCATACAATGAATATTTTAGTATATGGTGTTACGATACTTTAACACTAGACCAGTAGAAGCCGTGGCTAGAAAGCAATGAGACTGTATCAGATACAGTCACTGATAGCGAGGGAGAGGGGCTCCCCCAAGTTCCAAATGACACAGGGGGAATCATCATCTCAGAAGTCTGTCCCACGTAATGTAAAAAGAAACATAAATATTCTCCCATGCAGACTGAATTATTGCCTCACCAGGAATCAAGCAAGAGAGTACCTTGACAAGGTAGGTAGGGAGGGAAGTGACATTTAATACTCACTCATCCCCATATTGTTTCTCTGTCTTAGTAAAGCAGCTTCTGAGAATAAAATGCACTACTTGGACAAGCCTTCTTTGCTTCGAAGTATTATACTACAGTTTGGCTTAGGTGGTCTTGCATCATAAGTGTTACATGTCTCCCCAAGTTGGTAGAGACTGTCTTTACACTGCTATGGTATTCAAGCTACTCTTTTGAAAGTCATCAACAAAACTATAATAAACAAAACCAATGGCCTTTTTCCAGTACTTATTCTGATTAGAATCTGATATTACTGATCACCTTCTCCTCCTCCTCATCACTGTACCATATGTTTTTCATATCTGTGCTCCAAGTTTGTGATACCATAAATATCTTAAGGGCAGATGCTGTGTTAGACAAGAAACATTTGAGAGTCTAGCACTTAGCAGGTAATAGGAAAACAAGGCAAATGACACATGGCCCCTGTGATTTATTCCTTTTGTTTGTCCACCAAAGCCTTTTACACTGCAGGTGGTCAGTAAATCTCTTAATCAATTTAAGACAGGTCAAACGATTTAAGAAGTTTACAATAAAATGTTTTACACTAATCTGAGAAGTCTATGCAAAGTAAGAACAGCTATGGCATCTTTTTAAAATTGTGAAACTAAAGCATGGTCTTCAGAGGTATGTGAACCCTTCTCACAACAAGGGCTTAAAGTAGGGAACAGATGTAAACTCCTCACTCCCTATTTTGTAAGAATAAGCGCCCGTAATGAAGTTTTTCTCTCTGCATTTTGAGTTTCCTGTTTGTAGTTCCCACTTTATCCTGCTATTCTATTCATTTTCTAGCTGAGCCCACAGCATCAAAAAATCTGCCTGAGAAAAACTGAAAAGAAATACAGCCAATTACATTCGGATGGTTGAAATAGAAATGGTGGTATTCTCTTCTTGAGGAGTTAGGAATCCTTTGTTCTGTGAGTGGAGGGAAGGATCTGAGAAGAAACAGGAAGACTAAGACTGCAGGAGAGAGCCAGGTCGATGGATTCTCTTAGTTAAATAGGAAAGAAAGTCATCTTCTGGGGGTGAGGAAGACGGAATTGAGTAATAGCCTTGAGGATCCTCAAGGTTTGAATTATTCATTTAGGGAAATAGAAGACAGAGCTAAGGACAAACAAAAGAAATGAGACCCAGCCCCTCAGCAAAATGGAGAAGCTATAAAAGGAAGTTAGAAACATAATGCAGCTGATGGTCATTAACTCTATGTTTAGTATTCCAAATCAGTTAAAATACAGAACGAAAGAGTCTCTGAGGGAAAATGTGATATAGTTCTGTCAATAAGGCGGTATTTCCGAATATAAAAGTACAGGAAACATGAAAATAAACTCAGCACAAGCAAACCTACACATTCGTGTTGTTTTTTAAATGTACATCAGAAACAAGACGGTAAAAAACAACAGGGCAGGTAGCAGTCATGTGGAGTCAGGTAGTCCCCCGGGGGTGGGCCATGAAACAGTATCTGCCTCATTTAAGATGATTCTCATCTGGCGTTTGTCCAAATGCTTACTAATGATTTCAAGTCAATGAGTGGGGAGAAGCAGCAAGTACAGAGAAAACAGATTGTGTCTGGGATAACTCTCTTCCTCTTTTGCAGTTAAGTATCAAAAACTGCACAGTATCACCAACGTCACCCACACAACCACATTCGCGAAGTCATTAAAGTGGCCAAGTCGACCATGTAGGAAGTTTGTCACGGCTTCGGCAAAATCATAATAACCTAAAACTACCTAAACTGAATCCCATATTTGGAAGTCATAGACAAGTTAGGTTTAATGTGCATGGATACTATAAATGGTGAATTACAAAAGAAAAAATCACAAACTTATTACTAGTGAATCACCAGGCAACAACAGTGTCAACTTGGTTAGGACAGAATCACACAGATCTTGGAACCCAGGAGATACCGGGGTAGGTGGCCAGGATGGAGAGGGCTCTCAATAAAGGTCTCTGTAAAAACAGCCGGTCGGCTACGAAAAGCACCTACTGCGCAGGGAGGAGGCTGCACCAGGACAAAAGCTGGTCAGGCGTCAACTCAGGCAAAAGCTATCGCCCCCAAGCGATTCTGGAGATGCAAGAGAGGCATGAAACAAAACAAAGTCCAAGAAACGCGGACAACCGGGTTACCGCTGGATCTTTCGCTTTCCCAACGGGAAGACCAATGTCGAAACTAGACTGCGTTTACCAAGGTCCGCTCCTAATTATTTCATTAGAGGAAAAAATTCCAGGGAGCACTGGATAGGAGGAAGGGAGATGCTGCCTTTCAGATCGTAGAAATACAACAAGAACCAAAACAGAGGAATTCCCACCAAATCCTACCACCCTCGTCCCTTCGCCTGCAAAGCCTCTGCTCTCCCAAGCCCGCTTCTCTCCTCAAATTCTTGCCAAAGAACAATCTCCCCATGCTTACCACCGCCCCCCGCTCCCCCGACTCCGATTCCTGAACAAGGTTACTTTCCCAAAGTCCTTGGACTTCATCCAGAGTTGGCGCGCCTTAAAAAGCAGCGCCCCTCCAAGTCCCCGCCCCACCCAACACCCCGTTTCCAGTCTCACCCCCTCCGCACCAGGCCCCGCTCCCCAGGCCCCCCGGACATACGCGCCACGCCTGCCCGCCTTACCATGTACCAGGTCCCCAGGATGATCGTCCCGGTGCGGACATGGCAACAGCCGCAGCACCGGGTGCTGTAGAACCGGTCACTGCGGTTCCGCTTGAAACTCATGGACACCATCGTAACAGGCGGGCCTCCTTCTTGGCCGGGCCCCTGACAAACGTTCTCCACCCGCAGCCAAACTCAAACGGCTGTTTCACGGCCTCCAAAACCCAACGACGCGTCTTCAAACCCGCCCCCGGCTCGTGCCCCTGCCAGCTTCTTCGCGCCTGCGCACTGAGCGCAGCGACTTCGGCTTACCCACCCCTCTTCCTCCACACAGGCCAATGGGGAGCGGAAGGCTGGATGGACCGGACTTCTGATTGGAAGAACTTGGGGATTGACAAGACCTCACGCCCAATTAGAAGTGCAACTCGCCTCAGCGAGTCTCCGCCTGTTACGCGAAGGCAAGGGCTGGTTCTCGGGCCTAGGATAGTTGGGGATAGGTATGTCCCCGTAGTGCACTATTCCCGAGATGAGACCCGCAAGAAAAGAGGCATTTAATGGAAAAAGGGAGACACGAGACAGCGCGGATGGCAGAAAGCGGGCACAAGGGGCTTTTCTGAGCAATGTGTGCCACGTACTGGATGGGAAGCGTCACAGGCTGATAACGTGACCTTTGCGCGCAGCTCAATTATTGCGCGGGCTGGGGGCGGGGCCTGCGGGGAAGGGACAGAGCCAAGCCCAGCCTTGAGCCATCCTCGCCCCTGTGGCGGAAATGGGAGGGTGCCTGGAGGAGTGGAGGGATTGGATTTACACCCTCTTTTCCCTCCGAAGCCTCCTTGGTGGGGGCGAAGAAAGACCATCCAACCCTGCCAAAGGCAAAAGGATTAAGGATAAATGAAAGCAAGATAATGTAGAAGAACTACTTAGCTGCTGGGTTTTTGGAGATGAGTGATTTTTTTTTGTAGGGAGAAATTATGAAACACATTGAAATGGACAAAAAATTACTGAATGTCTTCAATGAAAAAACAGCCATAGTTTGGCACACCGTCCCGGGCATTCTGTTGCTAGAGGGGCTGTCCGCTTTTCTTTGTGGTGCTCTGCACAACTCGGTAAGACCCCTCGTATTGTTATCTTACCCTTCCTTGGGAAAAGCCATTTTGCATCGATTTGTAAATTCATTCCCCAGTCCTGATTCAACAATATAGATGGGTGCTTTAAATTCTGCTTAGAGCTGGTTCTAACAGCTTACTGGTCCCCGGGTTAATGAGTAAATAAATTTTTTACACGTGTTCATTTTGTATTTCTGTGAGACCTGTGACTTCACCGTTAAAAAATGTATTTATCATTTAATGCTTTGGTAAACACACTTCTTTTCAGAGAATAGAAAGGGCTTCCCTTCTGCCAGGGCATATTCTTAGCCAGAGACCACACTGAATTCAGAGTAAAGGTTATTTCTTTGGCATGGCTTCTTTGAACACTGCCTGAAATTATGTATGTATTTGTTGATTATCTCCCCAATAAAATACAAATTTTAGGAGAGCAGAGACTATTCACCACTGAAGGAGTTGTCCATGGAGCTTATTTTCAAACCATCTGGGAAGCAGTAGTTAAGCCCGCCCACGCTAAAGGATGGGGTGTGGCTGGCTAACTCAGAATGAATTATGACATTTCTCTACTTATGTAGGGAGTAGATTATCTTAACCCCGCCCCACAATTTCGTATCCCTTATTTTGTTCTAGGCACAGATCCAATCACTTTATTTTCAATCATTTCATTCCTACAACTAACTGAGATAGGTACTCTTACGTTATTTAACTCTACAGAGAAGTTAAATTACATATCCAAGATTGCAAGGCCAGTGTCACAACTGAGATTAAAACCTGTTGTGCCAATAGTTTCCAAACTTTGCTGCACATTGGCATCACCTGAGGATCTTTACTAACCACTGATGCCTGCTTACTATTCCAGACCTTCTGATTTAACTGTCATGGGTGAGACCTGGGCATTGACATTTTTAAAATGTCAATTTTAAAATTAGGTGATCCTAATGTGCAGCACTGTTATTCTGTCTTGATATGAAATGTGGCAGACAGAAATAAATACAATACAATAAAAAAGAATACAAAGATAAGATCAGGGGAGCCGGGCGCGGTGGCTCACGCCTGTAATCCTAGCACTTTGGGAGGCTGAAGCAGGCGGATCACCTGAGGTCAGGAGTTCAAGACCAGACTGACCAACACGGAGAAACTCCGTCTCTACTAAAAATACAAAAAATTAGCTGGGCGTGGTGGCACATGCCTGTAATCCCAGCTACTTGGGAGGCTGAGGCAGGAGAATCACTTGAACCTGGGAGGTGGAGGTTGCGGTGAGCCGAGATCTCGCCATTGCACTCCAGCCTGGGCAACAAGAGCAAAACTCTGTCTCAAAAAAAAAAGAAAAAAAAAAAATCGGGAAATTATCCGATTTCTCTAAAAGCCAAAATGAATTCAAAATCAGGTGTACCTAACATGGCATCAGATCAGCTCGTAAGGGCTGTTCTCCCTGTACTGGGACTACCCCAGGCAAGGAACCAGGGAGGTGTAAATCATTAGAGACCTGCAACATAAACGCATCTGATAGCAATAATGTAAGCATACCCTGAGAATGACCCTGTATGGTAGATGCACCTGAATGTGTGCTCTGAGCTAGGGAATCTGGGAGTGGCCAACCTGGAGATTTGTTCTGTGTCTATGATAAACATCTTAAACCCCCACCCCCACCCACCGGCCCATCCATTGGAACATGGGCCATACAGGGGATTAGGGCCCTGAGTTTTGGGTTAAATGCAGGTTGCCAAGTGGAGGTCGTTAGTGGGAGGGTGTTCAGTGAAAATGCTGTATAAACTGCATGATGTTTACAGGCAGTTGCGGTTTTCCTGCCCTTGGGACGTGCAATTATGTTGTCCAGCCCGCTGCCAGAGGACAGCAGGAAGGGAGATGTGTTGTCCACCCCACTGCCACTGGACCACTTCTATACATAGCTGGTTCTTCTGTCCAGCCCGCTGCCACTGGACTCTTTCCCCTCTGTCACCACTGGACTGTAAGCTCCTAATACAAACCCATGTCTCATTTACTGGCTCTCCAGTCTCTTCTTGGCCTCTTGAACCTGGTACCTTCTCTATTGAGGTTAGTAGGAGTTTGGCACAACAATAGCATACATAACGGGATTAGAGGGGTGAAATACGGTTATGGAGTTTTGTCTAGATAATTTTTATCTAATATATACACCTTTTTTGAGAAAATTGTAAGGTACTATTGGCAAAACAACCCATCTTTTGGGGATGGGGAAAGGAAAGTTAACATTTTTAGGAGAAAATAGCTTAGGAAAACTCACAACGAAAGAAATTAGAGTGAGGTTGAAGCTCTTTAGCTAACATAGTTTAATCTATTTTTCTCTTTTAAATGTGTTAGTCTATTCACATTACTTTAACTTATTTTTATTGAGGATCTATTCTATTCCATGTGATGATACGAGAATGAACAACACAATATATACCTACTGTGTAGCCACAAAAATCTAAAATAAAAAAGGTATTAAAAGAAAGAACGAACAAGGCAGATATTGCACCTTTCCTGGAGTGTATATAGTCTACAGGGGAAAAAGTCAATGAGCATTTTCAGTCTTCATCCCATCTCCTAAAGCATTTACTTGTTGACTCTTCCTTAGAGCTAGAAATTCTTTCTTGGCTTCTGATTAACCATCCACTATTTTTTTCTGTGTACTTCTCAGGCAGCTCCTTCTTATTGTTCTTCGTAGTTCCCTCCTCTACTGTCCATCCCCCTAAATATTGGTGTTGTTGAGGGCTGTGTGTCAGGCTCTTTTCTCCTTTTATCTTTTCCCAGCTGTCACTTATTTACAAGATGATTTCCCCATGTATTCGTCCATTTTCACACTGCTATAAAGAACTACCTGAGACTGGGTAATTTATAAAGAAAAGAGGTTTAATTGATTCACAGTTCATCTTGATAGAAATAATTTAGCTTCCTGGCCAGGTATGTGGCTCACACCTGTAATCCCAGCATTTTGGGAGGCCAAGGTGGGCGGATCGCTTGAGTTCAGGAGTTCAAGACAAGCCTAGGCAGCATGGCAAAACCCCATCTATACAAAAAATACAAAAATTAGCTGGGCATGGTGGCTCATGTCTTTAGTCCCAGCTGCTCGGGAGGCTTGAGGCACAAGAATCACTTGAACCCAGAAGGCAGAGGTGAGCCAACATCGCACCACTTATTCTCCAGTCTAGGTGACAGAGTAAGACTCTGTCTCAAAAACAAAAACAAACAAAAAAAAGTCCCTAATTGTGTAAGTTTCTAGCCCCACAAAAGCCGATCCACTCCATGACCCATCCAAGAGGAAAGACCTAAAGATAATGGCATTGGTAGTTTTCCAACCCTTCAGATAGATTAAAGTGAAGCTCAAAGTTGACAAATCTCACCAATATCGTCAGAGTTTACAGCCAGTCTTTCAATTCCCCACTCCTAATGGAGAACAGATAATGTAGGGATACCAGGCTCTAAGTAAATCCCTCAGCATGGAAGACAGAGGCCAGACAATTGGAAAATAGGGTCTAGGAGAAAATGTCAAGAGAACTTAGAAAAGAAAAAAAAGACACTCTGAGCATACATCAAGAATAAGGTGCCATAACAATTATACAGGACAAAAAATTCTTAGAAATTAACAGCATGGGAGCAGAAATGAAAAACTCAAGATTGGAAAACAAAGTTGAGAAAGTTTCCCAGAAGCAAATCAAAAGACAAAGACATGTAAAATAAGAACGAATAAAATTAAAATTAGAGGATTAGTCCAAGATATCCAGTATCTGAATAATAGGAATTTCTGAAAGAGAGAGGAAGTCATCATCATAACAACATTTCCTAGATCTGAAAGAATGAATTTCCAAGACTGAAAATATCTGCTGAGTGACCATATTTTTGGAATAAAATAGATCCATGTAAAGGCACATCTGAGTGAAATTTCAAGACAGTGGGGACAAAGAGAAGATTCTATGAGCTTCAAAGAGAAGATTTCTATGAGCCATATAGAAAAATTCATAGTCAAATAGCCTTAGCCTTCTCAACAACTCTGGACTCTAGAACACAATAGAGATTTTATTTCAAAATTCTGCATAGAAAATGTTTACAATTTATAATTCTACACACAGCCAAACTGTCAAGTATAAGGATATAATAAACACATTTTCAGATAAGTCTCAAAAAATTTGCCTCCTAAACATCTTTTTCTCAGCCACCAGATGTTATGCTCCATCAAAATGAAATGAGTACATTAAAGAGGAAAATGTGGGATGCAGAAAACAGGATATCCAACATAAGTGAGATGTGGATGAAGACTCCAGAGAATAATAGAGATTTCAGTATGAAGACTGTACATTAGGTGTAGAGGTCAACCATTTCAGATTGGAGCACGATCATCATTTTTGCCTTCTGTAATTCTACTGAGTTTTTATCTTAATGAAGCTACTTGAGGATGTACTCCACCAAAAAAAAGGAGAAAACCAAGAGGAAGAGATGAGAACCAAAAAACCAGAAATCAAACTTAGGACAAAAGCCGAGGAAATTTCATAAGATGAAAGCAAAAGGAAGTCTCAGGATGACAGCTGTGCAGGGGGCCTAGGAAGCCACCAGTACTAATAGAAGAGAATGAAGGTATCAGGGAGCAAGAAAGAAATTAGCACTGATAGGCTACCTAATCGGGTAGATCTGGCAGGAAAACTACAATGAAAGGCATTGGGAAAGTGTGGCAAAACTGAGCAAATGACAAGCACAAAGAAAATTAAGCAATTTAGTAAACAAGGCAATTAGTATAAGTTCAAGAAAAACAAAAATTTAGAAAAGCAATGTAATCAGAGTGTACCACAGTGTGTAGCTGTGAATAGTAATTACATGGGCATAATCAAATAAACATTGAATATTGGGTATTTTATAAAACATTGAGATATGTATATTTTGGGAGGGTTAGGAGGAAGGGGAACAGATGACAGTCCAAGAGTGATCGGTCTTCATCTACCACAATGGAAGCCAATAATTAATGTCAAAAGTTGATTTATAGTCATTATGGAAAAACAGTATGGCAGTTTCTCAAAAAACTAAAAATAGAACTACCATATGACCCAGCAACCCCACTACTGGGTATTTATCCAAAGGGAAGGAAATTAGTATATTGAAGAGATACCTGCACCCTCATGTTCATTGCAGCTCTATTCACTATAGTCAAGACATGGAATATACTTAAGTTGGTGTACATCAACTTAAGTGTACATCAACTTAAGTGTACATCAACAGATGAATGGATAAGGAAAATGTATATACACAATCAAATACTATTCAGCCATAAAAAGAATGAAATCCTGTCAACTGAAGCAACATACCTGAACCTGGAGGACATTATGTTACGTGAAATAAATCAGGTACATAAAGATAAATACCACATGCTGTCACTCATATGTGGGAGCTGAAAATGGAGCTCACAGAGGTAGAGAGTAGAATAAAGATTATTAGAGACTGAGAAGAGAAGGAGGGAGAGGAGGATGGGGAGAGGCTGGTTAACAGATACAAAAGTACTGTACAGCTAGATAGGAGGAATAAATTCTAGTGTTCTGCAGCACTGTGAGGTGAATATAGTTACCAAAAATGTACTGCATATTTTCAATAATCTAGAAGAGAGGATTTTGAATGTGCACAACACAAAGAAATGATAAATATTCAAGGTGATAGATATGCTAACTTTCCTGATCTGATCATTGCTCATTACACACGTATCCAAATATTGCTCTGTATCCTGTGAATTTATATAATGGTGTCAACTAAAAATAAAATGGAAAAAAGTTAATTAATTAAAATATAGCAACGCTGGGCTCATGGCTAACACCTGTAATCCTAGCACTTTGGGAGGCCAAGGCAGGGGAACCGAACTAGCCGCTTTTTCATGGAGTACTATTTTGTTTTAAAGAACGACTGACAGGCAAATATTAATATTCAGACATGAGTATTTGGCAGTCATTTTCTTGAAAATGAATGAAGTAAGCCTGTCTGTCCCTTCAAGGAAAGCAACTAGAGTATTTGTGAGCAGTGATTAAACTAGAGCTTTCAAGAGGAAAATGAGAGATTTGGAAGAAATTGTGTCCACCACCATGAACTTGACAGTGATAATTCAAGACTTTTATGATGAGATTCGAGGTAAAATAAACTGATGTGATTTTTGTTTTTGTCTAATATTATCAACATTTGACTATCTGCATAATTAAATGAGCCATTTGCCAAAGAACCAAGGCATAATCTTATAAAATCATGCATAAATAAAAGAGCCAGTCAAATGCAAGATAGACCAATGATTTCTAATGTAACAGTTTGAAAAGTTTACTGGTAGGTTTCAGATTCCACACTGCAACTGACCTTTTAAGGAATTACCATTGACTATGTTTTCGTATAGAATCAAAAAAGAATAGCCACAATTATCTAAAAAGGCTCATAAAATACTCCTCACTTTTCCAACTACGTATCTATAAGACTGGATTTTCTTCTTATATTTCAACAAAAAACATATCGCAACAGATTGAGTTCAGAAGCAGATATGAGAATCCACATGTATCTATTCTATCTATTCTGTTTTATCCACATTTATTCTATCTATTCTATCAAGCAAAACATTAAGCAGATTTGCAAAATATTAAATAATGCCACTCTTCTTGCAAGCTTTTTTTATATTTTGAAAAATGTAGTTATTTTTTATAAAAATATGTTGTCTATATTAACCAATAATGGACTTATTGTTGTCATTTTAAAATCAATTTAGAAATATTTTTAAATTGTCTCTATTTTCCTTTCTAGTAAAGGATATATCAGTAGTTACCTTAGATAAACAAAAGCTCTTCATTGTCCTCTATAATTTTTAAGAGTATGAAGAGGTTTTAGACCAAAAAGTAAGTTTAGAAACCACTAACTTGAGCCTTCTGACTGCCCTTGTGGACAATGGTTACAAATATTCAGAATGTGACTCTAGGATACTAAGAGCTGCCACCTGAAGATTTTTTAATAGAGGCGAAAAGCAGATTTAGGATTTTCAAATTCTTTTTTCTTTTCATTAAAAAAAATTAAAATAGAGACGATGTCTCACTATGTTGCCCAGGCTGGTCTCGAACTCCTGATCTCAATTGATCCACCCACCTCAGCCTCCCAAGATGCTGGGATTACAGGCATGAGCCACCATGCCTGGCCTCAAAATTCTTAATACCATAGGTGTTAAGTCCATTCAGGCTGCTATAACAAATTACGATAAACCGAGCAGCTTATAAACAGCAGAAATTTATTTCTCATGGTTCTGGAGACTGGGAAGTCCAAGATCAAGGTGTCAGTAGATTTGGAGTCTGATCAGGGCCTGCTTTCCAGTTCACAGATGGCATCTTCTTGCTGTGTCCTCACATAGTTGAAGGGGTGAGGGGGTTTTTATATAAGGGCACTAATCCCATTCATGAGGGTTCCACCCTCATGATATAATCACCTCCCAAAGGATCCACCTCCTAATACCATCACCTTGGGGTTAGAATTTTAATTTTAATTTGGGAGGGACACAAACATTCAGACCATAGCACTGAGTTTAAACAATTCTCCATTAACTTCCATTTAGATTATTGGCTAATTAGTATTTGCTTAACAAAAAGCTCCTTGTCTGAATCTCAGTTTCTTCACCTGTAAAAGGGAAATAAGATTTCTTTCTTAATCAAGGTTTAATGTTCTTACTGTAATGAAAGCAGAAGGCAATCATGCCTTGAAATATTTCCACCACAATTTAATTATTCATCTCTAGTCCCTTGCAGGATTTCTTGTCTGCTGATATTGGTAATTATCTCCTCTAGTCAAATTAAATGTGTGGTTTTTATTTTTAATTGCTCCAGGGTATTAGAAGAATTAATTAGTAAGTGTTGGCCAACTACCTTGAAGATGAAAAGCACTATGTAATTATCACCATGGGAAAAGTGCTTTCCATGCGCTTTGCTGAATTCACTACTTAGGATTATGGGATTAAATGTTAACTTTAAGGACTTCTGGTGTGAATGTGGTAACATAGATTCAGCATCTTTCTTCTTTTTTTCTTTTTTAAATGCTACAAAAACAACAAAAAATGTAAACTTATCTTCAGCAAATTTGGGAGCAGATATAATCCATAGCCTTCAAAATATGAATCAGGGCTGCTGAGAGCAGCTAAGATTAGACAGAAGCCATATAGGAGAAACTGGCAAAGAGCTATGAGGTTCAAGTGGCAGCAGAATCCAGAAAGCATCAGTAAACATGATTCCTAAAGTGAGGGACTCACCATGTAGTGGAAATGTGTGGCATCTTGTCAATGGATTTCGGTGAGCAGACCTGGTGGCACCCAAGTCCTCCTGGAACCTGGTTTATTTCAGAGGAGGAGCAAAAAGATATTGGCTACACAATTTAAAAAGAGAAACCATCTGCATTGTTTTGCTAGGGCTACCATAGCAAAAGACCACAAACTGGGTGGCTTAAACAAGAAATGGATTATCTCATAGTTCTGGCAACCTTCCTGATGAAGGTGTTTGTCGAGTTCATTTCTTTTGAGGGGTGTGAGGAAGATCTGTTCCTTTCCTTTTGTGTAGCTTAAAAAGAGTATAGGTTTTTTTTTTGTCTTCAACTTTTATTGTAAGTTCTGGGGTACGTGTGCAGGATGTGCAGGTTTGTTACATAGGTCAATGTGTGCCGTGGTGGTTTGCTGCACAGATCAACCCATCGCCTAGGTATTAAGCCCATCATCCGTTAGCTATTCTTCCTGATGCTCTCCCTCCCCGCAATGCCCCCCGCCCCCAACAGGCCCCAGTGTGTGTTGTTTCCTCCCTGTGTCCATGTGTTCTCATTGCTTAGCTCCCACTTTAAGTGAGAACATGCTGTGTTTGGCTTTCTGTTCCTGTGTTAATTTGCTGAGGATAATGGCTTCCAGTTCCATCTCTGTCCCTGCAAAGGACATGATCTCATTAAAAGGAGTACATTTTAATCAAAGTATTTATTAGCATTGGATTCTAGACTTTCCTTTAAAAGAAGGGCAAACTAAAACACAGCTATAGACTCCAAGAAATGGGTATAATTTGGCTGTTTCTAAGTTAATCCAAGAAGTAAATGTAACTTCATAAAAGCTCAACATGACAAAACTTTCATAGTGAAAGTGGAGTCAGATTCCTCCGAGCTGTGATAGCCATTGCCATCTCATGAGATGGGAGGTGGATTCCGGGAAACCATCCAGGGAAGCTGGACTGATGTTTTAGTCCATGTGGGTTTCTATAGTGGAATACAATAGACCCGGTGACTAATAAACAACATTTACTTCTCACAGTTCCCTCTGGAAAGGCATCAGGGGAGGCATTTGGGAAAGCTGGCACTTTCCTTTTGCCCTTCACATCACATGATTGATTGGAAAAATGGGAAATGACAAGTGGCATCAACAAGCGGGGCAAAGAGCTAGCCCAGTCAACCTACGATGGGCCCCATTCAAGGGGCACAGAGGGACAGAGGGACAGAAGGCTGAAGACTGGCTGGCTGGGGTGCAGCGATGCTACAGAACGCCCCATGGGACTTGGCATGAATAGGAAGCGTGGCCAGGTCAGTGGGCCTCCCCTGTGATGCTCCTTTATCCAGCCCTTCACCAGGCCTGTCCCTGGGTCTCATGCCCTCTGCCATTGGCTAGAAAACTCAGCCAGTGACTGCCACCTGAGAAAGGAAGAAGAGGGATGTGGGCATAGAACAGCCACCCTCCTTGCCCTGCCCTGCCCAGCCCAGCCCACTGGGATCTGCTCTTCCTCTGAGCTCCCCAGCCTGGGCCATGGTGGTGCACAACTGCAGAGGGCACCATTCACATTCCCTGTGCGGGCAGAGTCCACGCCTGCTGCTGGGCAAGAGCACATCCGGCTGGTTTTATTCAGTATCTGGGTGTGAGTTTGTCTTACTACCTTGGCTAGACCAAACTCCTGGAGGGATGGGACATGTTTCTAAATCTTTTTATATACCAAACCACCTAACACTAGCCCAGCTTGATAAATCTTTGCTGATGGATGGGCAACCCAGACATGGAGTCATCTGCCCTGAATTGCAGAAAACCGGGCCATTGAAGCTCACAAGAACACGTATTCTAGAGAGCTCTGCAAACCTGCTTCTGCCCAGCTTTGGCATCTGGGGTTAGCATTAGCCGTTTAGAAATGTGACCTTTTATGACACAGGGCATCTCCCAGCAGTTGCATGATGTGACCAGGGTGGCTTTCTGCCTCTGCTACTTGTGTCAGTTTCTTCCTCCCTAAAAGGGTTCAGTAATGAGTGGGGATTTCATGAGCCATAGGCAGAACTGACTCTGCAGAGCTCGGAGTGGGGTTTGGATTAACCACAGTCATCACCACTGTTTATGCAGCTTTGCAGCCAGCCAAGGCTCAAATTTCTCCCAGAGGCCCACAATATTTCTCTGTGTGATTCTTTTGAAGCATGAGGCCTCAAACCCATACTTAAATACTTCTCCTCTAACGTAAGCTTTGGCGTAGCTAGATGATACTTCACTGAGCCTCCCAAGCCTGCCTACCTTCCATCTGGCCACTAACACTCAGTAAGAAAACTTTGAGCACTTTCAGACACTTTCAGGGTAGACTTGTCTAAGTGCTGGGCTGCCCTGCTGGAATCAACTGGAAATGAATGTTAAAAAAAAAAAAAGAAAGAAAAAAAAGAAAGAAAGAAAAACATTGAAATAAGAAAGAAAAACATTGAAATGAGAAATAGAGGATATGGTTTGGCTGTGTCCCCACCCAAAACTCATCTTGAATTCCCACGTGCTATGGGAGGGACCCGGTGGGAGGTAATTGAATCATGGGGGCGGGGCTTTCCCATGCTATTCTCATCATAGTGAGTAAGTCTCATGAGATCTGATGGTTTTATAAAGGGGAGTTTCCCTGCACAAGCTCTCTTCTCTTGTCTGCTGCCATGTGAGACTGCCTTTTACCTTCTGCCACGATTGTGAGGCCTCCCCAGCCAGGTGGAACTGAAAGTCGATTAAACCTCTTCTGTAAATTGCCCAGTCTCGGGTATGTCTTTATCAGCAGCGTGATAACAAACTAATACAGAGGACTAGAATTTTTAGTCATTAGCTTGTGGGATGGCCATGAACAGATTATTTCTCTGTGCTCCATGTTGCCATTTGTAAAATACAGGAGAGGAACAGGAGGAGGGTGTCCCTGCCCCACTGCCCACAGGATACCTGTCCTGAGCCATATGTCCCTCTGGGGGTAAGAACTGGGGAGGGCGGGATGGGGGAGGCGTGTGCAGAGCCTCCAGCTTTTTCCTGGCTGAGGCTGAGGTGTCACCTGTGGACACAGGTCAGAGGTAGTTAGGTTTTTCAGTGTAGAGACTGAGCTTGGAATTGTTCTCACAGCACAGTCTCCAAGCCCTCTGGTTCCTAAACTAATTACCCAGATTAATGAATTGATTCTTTGATTCCAAGAACACTTTGTGGCAAAAACATGAATTCAAAATGTCTGGGGGTTAGAGAGGCAGCTTTTGTATGTATGTATGTATGTATGTATGTATGTATGTATGTATGCATGTATGTATGTATGTATTTTGAAACGGAGTCTTGCTCTGTCGCCAGGCTGAAGTGCAGTGGCACGATCTTGGCTCACTGCAACCTCTGCCTCCCGGATTCAAGCGATTCTCCTGGAGAGGCAGCTTTTAGTGTCTCTAGCTTGTTAGGAGAGCAGGAGGGCTGCGCGGGCAGAGGGCATTGAGCACTTTGCCAGGAGGTGTGGGTCTGAGTTCAGTTCCAGTTCCACCCTCAACTCACAGAGTGAGCTTGAGTCAGTTCTTCCGCCTCTTAGGGCCTCAGTCTCCCCATCTGTGCAATGCAGGGGTAGACTAGGGAAGCCCCAGGCTCACTTCCAGGTCTGAGGTTTGAGGATCTTCTCCATTAGGCTGTTTTCTTTCCTTCCTCATCCCCTCAGTCTTCTAATTTTTTCCCCAGTCTTGCAGATGGGAGACCAATATTCTTTTTCTGGTTGATCTTGGCTATTTCATTGATGCAGGCCATAGGTTTCCTAATGGACAATGAGAGAGTTTGACTAGGAGTGTCTACAGGTTCACCCAGTTCTGGGGCTCTGGGCTTCCTGAAATTCCATGGTATAAAGGTGTACAGCCGGGTGGTGCCTGACGGTCTGGGCTGGGGGCCCTCCCTTCACCCCTTCATTGTAGGGGACTTACCTTCACCCTTACATCATAGGGAACTTACCTTTCAGGTGCCCCAGTTGCTGCCTCACCTACTGATCCACCAGATTTCTCAAGAGGGCCTTGGAAATGGCTTAGACAGAGGCCCATAGGCGGAATCTGTTGTGATGGCTTTTTAAAGTATCACCCTGATTGAGTAGCAGTCTCCATTTATTCAATTAAACACTAATCTAAGTGTTGCTGTGAAGGTATTTTGTAGACATGATTAAAGTCCATTATCAGTTGATTTAAGTAAAATGGATTATTCTAGATCATCTGGGGCATATAATTTCTTCTTCCCTGTAGAAGAAGAAACTCTACCTGTAACAGCAGCTTCAGCCACACCCCAAAGTCCCAGCCTGCCCTTCCCTGAGGCCTGCCCTTCCCTGAGGCCTGCCCTAGGAATTTCAGACTCACCCAGCCAGCCCCCACAACTGTGGAAGCCAATTTCTTGCAAGAATCTCTTAGTGCATACCTCTTACTGGTTCTGTTTCTCTGGTTGAACCCTGACCAATATACTGTTGGATCAGACATAGTGGGTAAGGCACACCTCTGGTCTGATCCTTAGGCTCCGTATTATTTCTGAAAAATATGAAACACATCTCCCTAGTTCTCTAGTCCAGGCTGTAATGATCTTGACCATATGTGTCAAACATTTCCTAACTGAGCGGAATACATTTGCCCCTACTATCCCTGCCACATTCAGGACAAGGTCAAATGAGGCTTCTGAGTGATTTTGCCTTCGGTGGGTTTTTAATACCTCACAAGTACTTGATCTTGGGATTCTTTGTACACTGAGTTTACCCCACATTGCTTTTAATGGTAGGATCTTCTAAATACTTACTACTGAGAGTGAAATATTCTACCACCCCTCACCATTCAATTTAATAGCTACTGCTGAACATCTAAAATCAAGACAAATAACCAAGCATAACCAAGTTTGTGAGTCTCCAGGGAACTTAAAGATCCTGTGTGTGTAAGCGACAGCAACCCTGCACAATAGGAGAGTGGGCAGAGTCCTGGGCTGAAAAGGGGATCTCAGCGAGTGAAATCAAAGAAACCAGAATCCTTGGCGTTTTTGTTTTCAAGATCTCAGCTTTTCAGCATCTCTCTCTTCATCCTAAAAATAGATTTGCCAAACACCCGGACTATAATGTTTAAAAATAATAAATAATGCAGTTTCCATTGACATTTGTCCCTACTGGGTGCACAGATGATGGGCACGATATGTTAACCTCTGGTGTTTAGCTCATAAAATGGAGAATATTGTCCTCTGAAGTCCAAGAGAAGCATAACAAGCCCAGCAGACCCTTCTGCCAGGGGTTGAGGAACTAGATGTGGGCTGGTTGGGGAAGGAGGGAGTTCCAGACACCAAGAACAATGGATGTCAGTGACAACTACATAGAAGAGGTCAAAGTCTGCCCTAGTCTTCTGCTTCCGGACAATCCCAGGCCACCAAGTTTGGGGCTTGCTGAATTACAGAGAGCATGAGAATCTGGAAGAGGCCCCAGCCTCTCTGGCATGCAGCCATGAAAGAGGGCTGGGCCAGCGTGTTGGGGAACTGGCTCGGCCCTTGCCTGCAGAGTGTAGCTTTCCTCTCTTCTCTCGGTGCATCCATTTTCTTCTGGCCTCTGACCTGTGCTGACAGTAAGAGCTTCATAAAGCCGCTTTCTGTTGCTCATCCCAGCACCCAGCCCTGGACCTGGGCAGCTGCCAAGGGCCTGTATGGGCCTGGCAGGTGGGCATTTGCCCAGGCTGCCAAGTGGTGAGGAGTGCCCAGCCTCTTTGCTGGCATCTTGCCAAGCACTGTGGTACTGACTCATCTTTCTCTTTCACAGCTTAGGGCCAGGCAAGAAGCATTCAGTTCAGATCAGGGAAGAGCATGGGGCCCTTGGACATCCTCAGGTATCTTGCAGAGTGAGCCTCTTCTCTGGAGACTTTGCAGCAGGTCCTAGCTTTGCCTGCTCTACCCATCATGGTAACCACAGCCTGGTGTGTCTGGAAAACTGCTAGTTCAGCATGGTGCAGCTCGGATGGCCTTGGGGTGTGGTGGGCCATGAAACTGAAGGGCAGTGTGGGAGTCGGGGGCACACTCACAATATAAATTTGCAACTGGGACGATATTTTGGAAAAATATTAATGTGCTTTTTCTCTTTTACTTTTCTGAATATCTGACATTCTCTCTATCTGCCTAAGGCATTCATTTACATGGAGAGATTAAGATTGTTCTAAAATACTTACCAAAACAACAAAAACATTATTATTCACCTTTTGACTTTCAAAATAAGAGTTTTATAGTTTTTTGATATATAATTGAAATACAATAAACTGAATATATTGAAAGTGTACAATCTGATGAGTTTCAACGTAAGTGAAATGGCCATCACAATCAAAATAATGAACATATCCTCACCTCCAAAAGTTTCCTGGCTCCCCAACTCGGTTCTCAGGCAAGCACTGATTTGCTCTCTGTTACTACAGATTAATTTGCATTTTCTAGAATTTTATATAAGTGGAATCATACAGTATTTACACATTTTGTCTGGTTTCTTTCACTCTGCATAATTATTTTCAGACTCATTTTTATTGCTGCAGGAATTGATAGTTCCCTCCTTTTTATTGCTGTGTAAAATTCCATTGTATGATACAGTGCAATTTGTTTATTTACCAGTTGATGGGCCTTTGGTTGTTTCCAGTTTTTGGCTGCTACAAATAAAGCTGCTATGAACGTTTGTGTGCATGTCTTTGTGCGGACATATGCTTTCATTTCTCTTGGGAAAATACCTAGGAGTGTAATGTCGGTGTCACCTCATAGATGTATTTTTATTGTTTTAAGAAATTGGCTGTTCCAAAAAGTAGTTGCACCATTTTATACTCCCACTAACAGGGTGAGTTCCAGTTGCTCCATATCTTCACCAACACTTAATATGGCCAGTCTATACTTTTAACCATTCTAGTAGGTGCATATAAGGTAATATGGTTTGGATCTGTGTCCCTGCCCAAATCTCATGTTGAATTGTAGTGTTGGAAGTGGGGCCTACTGGGAAATGATTGGATCATGGGGCTGGTTTCCAACGGTTTAGCACCATCTCCTTGGTGCTGTCTTGTGATAGAGTTCTCGTGAGGTCTAGTTGTTTAAAAGTGTGTAGCACCTCCCCCTGCTTCCTCCTGCTCCAGCCATGTAAGATGTGCCTGCTTCCCCTTTGCCTTCCGCCATGATTGTAAGTTTCCTGAGGCCTCTCCAGGAGCAGATGCTGCCATGCTTCCTGTACAGCCTGCAGAATTGTCAGCCAATTAAACATAGTTTCTTTATAAATTACTCAATCTCAGGCATTTCTTTATAGTAATGCGAGAATGGACTAATACATAAGGATAGCTTATTTTGATTGCAATTTGCACTTTCCTAGTGACTAATGACACTAAGATTTGTAGCAAGACATACCCAAGCTAGCCTGGCTATTGCTTGGAGGGATTTTCTAAATTCCTTTGTACTGAAGCAAAATAACACAGTGGTTAAAATATGGGCTTGGCGCGTGCATGATGACATATTTATTCATTGCAGCATTGTTTGTAATAGCAGGAAAATGAAAAAACCTGTGTCCATTAATGGACTATGTCAGATAGACTATGGTGTTATATTAGTCAGGATTTTTCAGAGAAACAGTGAAAGTGTGTATGTGTGTGTTGTGTATTTTTGAAGAAATTTATTTTAAGAGATTGGCTCACATGATTGTGGAAGTTTGCCAAGCCAAAAATCTAATGGGGGAGGCCAGTGGGCTGGAAATGCAGGAAACAGTTGCAGTTTGACTTTAAAGGCACTGAGCCTGGAGATACATGAAAGAGCTGATATTGCAATTCAAGTCTGAAAGCAGTCTGTGGCAGAATTCCCTCTTAATTGGGGAAGGTCAACTTTTTGTTCTACTGAGACCTTCAAGTAATTGGATGAGGCCCATTTGTGTTGTGAAAGGCAATCTACCTACTCAGAGTTCACTGATTTAAATGTAAGTTTCATCCAAAAGCATCTTCACAGAAACATCCAAAATAATGTCTGACCAAGTAGCTGGGCATTCTGTGGCCCAGCCAAGTTGACATAAAAATAACCAGGGCAGGCCAGGCACAGTGGCTCACACCTGTAATCCCAGCACTTTGGGAGGCCAAGGCAGGTGGATCACAAGGTCAAGAGATCGAGACCATCCTAGCCAACATGGTGAAACCCCATCTTTACTAAAAATACAAAAATTAGCCAGGTGTGGTAGCACATGCCTGTAATCTCAGCTACTTGGGAGGCTGAGACAGGAGAATCGCTTGAACCCGAGAGGCAGAGGTTGCAGTGAGCCGTGATTGCACCACTGCACTCCAGCCTGGTGACAGAGCGAGACTCTGTCTCAAAATAAATAAATAAAACAAAAAATAACCGGGGCTGGGCATGGTGGCTTATGCCTGTAATCCCAGCACTTTGGGAGGCCAAGGCAGGCAGATCACAAGGTCAGGAGATCGAGACCAGCCTGACCAACATGGTGACACCCCATCTCTACTAAAAATACAAAAAATTAGCCAGGCGTGGTGGTATGCACCTGTAACCCCAGCTACTCAGGAGGCTAAGGCAGGAGAATCACTTGAACCCAGGAGGCAAAGGTTGCAGTGAGCCACGAACCTGCCACTGCACTCCAGCCTGGGCAAAAGAGAGAAGCTCCATCTCAAAATAAATAAATAAATAAATAAATAAATAAATAAATAAATAACCATCATGGGTATGAGTGGAACACTATGCAGCCATTAAAAAGAAAAGTAGCTCTGCTAGGCACGGTGGCTCACGCCTGTAATCCCAGCACTTTGGGAGGCCGAGGTGGGTGGATCACCTGATGTGAGGAGTTCAAGACCAGCCTGGCCAACATGGTGAAACCCATCTCTACTAAAAACACAAAAATTAGCCAGGCATGGTGGCTGGTGCCTGTAATTCCAGCTACTTGGGAGGCTGAGGCAGGAGATTCGCTTGAACCTGGGAGGTGGAGGTTGCAGTGAGCTGAGATTGTGCCACTGCACTCCAGCCTGGGAGATAGAGCAAGATTTCATCTCAAAAAAAAAAGAAAGGTAGCTCTAAATGTACTAAGAACATAATATATATCTCCAAGATAAATTATTATTAAAAAAGCCAGATATAGAACAGTATATAAAATATGCTACCATTAAAAAATTTTTTTTAAATAATACAGTCATGCATTGCTTAATGATGGGCATACATTCTGAGAAATGTGTCATTAGGCAATTTCATTGTTGCATGAACATCATAGGATATACTTACACAAACTTAGATGGTGTAACCTACTACACACCTGGCTATATAGTATAGACTATGCTCCTAGGCTATAAACCCATACAGCATGTTACTGTACTGAATACTGTAGGCAACTGTAACATAATAGTAAGTATTTGTGTATCTAAACATAGCTAAACATAGAAAAGGTACAGTAAAAATATGGTATAAAAGACAAAAGATGCTACATCTGCATAGGACACTTAACATGGATGGAGGTTACAAGATGAAAGTTGCTCTGGGTGTCAGTGAGAGAGTGCTGAGTGAATGGGAAAGTCTAGGACATTATGCCACTGTAGACTTTATAAACACTGTACGCCAGCAGACCCCAACCTTCCTGGCACCAAGGACCAGTTTCGTGAAAGACAATTTTTCCACGGACAGGGGTGGGGTGATGGTTTGGGGATGAAACTGTTCCACCTCAGATCATCAGGCATTAGTTAGATTCTCATAAGGAGATAACAACAACAACAAAAAAGAAACAAACAAATATTCTCATAAGGAGTGCACAACCTAGATCCCTCGCATGCACAGTTCACAACAGGGTTCGTGTTCCTATGAGAACCTAATTCTCCTGCTGATATGACAGGAGGCGGAGCTCAGACAGTCATGCTTGCTCGCCTGCCACTCACCTTCTGCTGCATGGCCCGGTTCCTGACAGGCCATGGACCAGTACTGGTCTGAGACCCAGGGGTTGAGGACCCCTGCTGTACACTATACTAAATTTATAAAAAACAATTATGTTATAATGTTATGACAGCTACGATGTCATGAGGATAGGAATTTTTCAGCTCCATTATAATCTCATGGGATCACTGGTGTATATGTGGTATATCATTGACTAAAACATCACTATGCATTTGTGTATATAAACGACTATATATGGAATTATCATGGTTGTAAGAAAATGGTATAGGAGCTGGGCGCAGTGGCTCATGCCTGTAATACCAGCACTTTGGTAGGCTAAGGTGGGCAGATCACGAGGTCAGGAGTTCGAGGCCAGCCTGGCCAACATGGTGAAACCCCATCTCTACTAAAAAACAAAACAAAACAAACAAACAAACAAAAACCAAAAATTAGTCGGGTGTGGTGGCAGGTGCCTATAACCCCAGCTACTTGGGAGGCTGAGGCAGGAGAATCACTTGAAACCGGAAGGCGAAGGTTGCAGTGAGCTGAGATCACACCCCTGTACTCCAGCCTGGGCGAAAGAGCAAAACTCTGTCTCACAGGAAAAAAAAAAAGAAAGAAAGAAAAGAAAATGGTATGGGAAACTGAGAGGCTAGGGAATAGGGAAGAATGGCAGCTTATTTTTTCTTTCACTCTCTACTTTTTGTGTTTTTAAAATTTTATGGCATATGCAGAAGAAACCTTGGCTTTACATCCCAGCTCCATCGGCTAGAGATGTATCCCAGCCTTCCCGCTTCAGGGCTGCAGGCACAGGAGTGGCCGTTTTAGAGCGAAAGCCATAGCAAGTGGGGGTGGACAGGGATGGAGGCCAGAGATGTGCTCCTGAGTGGCCTGGACAGGATCCAGGAGTACGGTTCACCCGTTTGTAGTGGTGTGGACGGCCTGTGCCAGGGACCAGGAAAGATAGGGCTGGAGCTCCAAGGGGCACGGAGGGGCTGTGAGAGCCAGAAGGGGGCTGAGTCAGCCAAGCAGCACCACTGGCTCCACCACACAGAGCTTTTTCTTTGCAGTGAAGTCTGGGCCGCTCACTTTTTAGCCCCAGGCTGGGGAAGATGACATAGGTTCCCAGACGGTGAGCCTCACCCAGTGAAATTTCTTTCTGGCTGCAGGGTACATGCAGACCTGACCTTTTGGGTTTGCAGATCTGTGTGGAAAGATAACCTTCTCACAGGAGGCTTGCAAAGGAAATCCCTGCAAATGAGGACAGGTAATAATACCTTTGCTTTCCCAGTTCTTTAAGACTCTGACTCCACAATAACAGGGCTTTGCTTCCAAAAAAAAAAGGCCAACATGTGTTGCAATTTCAGCCAACATATGTTGCAAACTCAGGCTCAGCATCTGGTAGTAGTTAAGGGCAGGCTGACATTCACTGTGTAATTCAAATTCCTCCAGCCCTTTGTCCTCTTTCCCAGGCTCCTAGCAGCCTCCTCCCCTTCTCCCACTTCCCCTGACTTTCCCCCAAACTCTAGACGGACTTGTTCCTCTGCTTCCCAGTCTCACCAGGACCACCCCACCCACTCCTTTGGAGGTTGTTTTCAAAGCAGTGAGCAGAAAGAATCCAAGGCCACATGCCACTCACTCACTCAACCCGGGGCACGTTGTAAGGGACTGGGTTTCTGTTTGTTTTGTTGGCGTTTCTTGTTTTGGGAGTCGGAGGGAGTAGAAAGGGAAGGGAAATTATTTAGTGGATTTTTTTTTCCTTCTTTTCCTTTTCTTTCTTTCCAGAAAACTAGCATTTCATAGTTCAGGACCCAGTGAACAATCAACTGCTGACTCTCACCAATATCAAAGGGAAAAAGTTAGTAAAGGAGTTCGTCCCACTGCTCTAGCTGTCTAAAAATGTAACAGGCTTCCCCTTCCCCAACATAACCTGTAACTAAAATCTTGTTTATTTTCTGAACTTTTCAAAGAGGTTTAAGTACATTTTTGTGTATTTTTGAGAAAAGCACAGCTTATCCTATCACTGTCTTGCATCATATTTTTAAGTACCACATTACAAAAGACAAATATCACCAAGGCCCCTTAGAGCGTCCAAGATATAAAACTGCCGATGGACTGGCCACAGTGCCTCATCCCTGTAATTCCAATGCTTTGGGAGACCAAGGTGAAAGGATTGCTTGAGGCCAGGAGTTTGAGACCAGCCTGGGCAACATAGCGAGACGCTGTCTCTACAAAAAATAATTTTTTTTAATTGGCTAGGCATGGTGGCTCATACATGTAGTCTCAGCTACTTGGGAGGCTGAGGCAGGAGGATTGCTTGAGCCCAGGAGTTTGAGGCTGCAATGAACTATGATCATGCCACTGCACTCCAGCCTGGGAAACAAAGTGAGTCCTTGTTTCTGAAAAAAATAAACTGCCAATGGTGGCTTGTATGCTTGTATACCTGCCACCCTCACGTAAAAGAGGAGCAGTCCGCAAGATGGTCCCCCTCAATGCCATACCCCCTTCCAGAGCTTTCCCTCTTAAGGCAGAAATGGTGTCTGCTGTACATTCTGGTCTGGTATGTGGGCATATGCCCCTAGTTTCCAATTCAGACTGAAATTATTTACACCACATGCTCAAGCTGAAAGGATTACCCAAGGCGTGATCCTTGAGTGCCTCTGTCCCCACATCTCCCACCTCCCTCAGCATGCACTACTTCCAAAATATGCTTTACAACTGTCCCCTCTCTCCATCTCCACTGCCACCTCTCTAATCCTAGCTACCATCCTCTGTCACTTGGAATATGCAATACCTCCCTACCTTATCCCTCTGCTTTTCCTTGTGTAGAAAAAGTCATTGAAAAGTTCTGTCTGTACCTTTTTCTTCTTTGGTTCACTCTCCCATCCCTCCCATCATTTTTCAAGCAGGTAGACAGACTTGATAATCCCATGTTTCTAGAATTCTAGAAAGGCTATAAGGCAGCCTAACAACATCTCAGCTTTTGCAGAAGCCTGAATCAGAGATGACTTTTGGCGAGGTGTCCTGGGGGGTGTGGGGAGAGAGTGTGTGTGTCTGGACACAGCAGCAAGGACAGAGATGAGATTTTTTCTAGATTGAGAATAGAGGGAGTTCCTTAATCCCCGAGAGCAGGGAGGAGCCCAGTCAAGGTTCCAAGGAAGAGGCCTTAGGAGGTGCCCAGATCAGAGAGCTTGGCAGGCTGAGGTGCTAAGGTGAGGCAGGAAATTAAAGAAAAATAAAATTAAGAAGAAAGAGAAATAAGTTTTCCTGTATTGGGCTGACTTGTCCCAGAGGCAGCAACAGGCACAGCCCAGACCCAGGAAAAGTCTTGATAATATTATCTAATGTGCTCTGGAGACTCTCCCAGCCCTCCCTCAACATAGGGAAAAGAAAGACAAAATTTCCTTTGTTTTATGGAATGAGTTTATAGATTGCTGTTCTCTGTAACTAGTGACTTCAAGTATTCTGTTTTATCTAAGAAGTACAACGAAGGTCATTAGAAGCCTGAGTAGACCTGAACTACAGCTGCCTGGGCACCATAGTGAAGGTTATAAGATAAGCCCGTGCCCAGGCAAACCTAGATAACGGACATCTGGGTTGCTTGGCAACGGTCATGTGCAATCCTGTATTTGTCCTGCCTCTGTGTCCCTGCTTTCACACCACCGTAAGCTTGCTTCAAGCTAGCCCACCCCCTTTTGTGAAGTGTGTATAAAAGTCAGGTGCTGTCTTTGTTCTGGGCCCAGTCTTTTGGATGTGAGTCAGCTGGGCCTGAGTGCACTCAATAAAGATTCTCCTGTTTCAACGTGAGGTCTCTCTCGTCCTCCTGAGTCCCACAACAAAGGAAGCGGACTTTACCTGCAGAGAGTCACTAAAGGGGGCATGCTAGTCTTGGACAGTCAGAGCACCTGTTATAATCATGCCAACTAGAGGCCCTCACCATGTTTCATGAGTGTCAAATAAGGATTCCCTTGTGATCCTGAAAGGAAAAGTGGTCTCAAATATGACGTTTCAGGAAGGGAGGGGCTTAAGGCAAAATTAGGCTGAGCTACTGGAAATAAAGTGGTGTTTCCTGAAGACCTAAATGTGGACCAGGATTTATACTCACTATTCACTTAAGGTGACCAGTGGTCCCAGTTTGCTTAGAACTAAGAGATTTCTCAGGACATAGGACTTTCAATGCTAAAATTGAGAATGTTCTAGGCAATCTGGGATGAATTGTTTACCCTATTTAAAGTTCTTTCTACAAAATGATAAACTTACAAATGAAGTCAGGTCATAACTGTCTCTTACCATGGCCTTGGGGCTCCGTGGTGATCCGGATCCTGCCTCGTACTTCATCCAGCTCTGCCCGGTTCCTTCCTATCCAGCCACCCTGCCTCCATCCTGCCTTCAGCCGACCTAGTTTATTCCTGTCTCTTAACCTATCACCTGTGATTCCTTCTGCCTGCACCACCTTCACCCTTTTCTCCTGCTCTTTCCCAAGGTCACCTCCCTTCCCTCCTGCAGAGGTCAGCTCAGAGAAACGATCCCACACCTTCCTCTCTGAAATCGCTTCCTCCACCTCAGCCCCAGTCTCTCTCTGGCTGCCATAACCCTCTGTAATTTACTCGTGGTACTGATCTCATGTGTGAATTAGCTTGATTGTGCACTTGTCTCTTTTCCCCTTAGCATGGAAGCTCCAGGAGGGAACCCTGTCCTAGACTCTGGCTCAGGGGTTTACACAAAGTCGGTGTTCAACAGTTGTTGCCTGGCTGATTGCAAAAAAGGCTTTGTTTTTTTCTCTGTTCTTTTTCTTATTTTACTAAAAAAAAAAAAAGCAGTAAGTAAGCAGGTTAAATTTTTTCAAGATTAACCCTTATTTTGGTGGAGAAAAAAAAATCATTTGGCCTGGTTAGTGCTGGGGTTTAGTAGAGTAACCTTTGTTTTCTTCTTCTTGATGAACATTGTGGCCCATTTCCCTTTCAAAATTTTCTTTCTAGTCTCTATAACAAAGAACTAGTCACAGGTAAGACACGAGAGAAAAAAAGGAAAGAAAAACCAAGTGGTGGGGCAGACAGCACAATGTAAGATGGCTAAAAACAAGTCCAAATATATCAAAAACCACAATAAATTTAATTTTTCTTAGTTTTCCTTTTCAAGGATCAAGGCTACCAGTTTGGTTAAAAAATTCAGCCATATGCTGTTTCCATGGGACACACCAAGATCATAAGAACATGGAAAATTTGAAAATCAAAAAATGGGAAAACAGATCAGGCAAATGGCAACCACAAGAAAGTTGACATCAGAAAAAAATATTTTTAATTTATTATTTAAAAAGAAATTTTTTTGAGACAGGGTCTCACTTTTGTCACTCAGGCTGGAGTGCAGTGGTGTGATCTCGGCTCACTCCAACCTCCATCTCCTGGGCTCAAGCGATCCTCCTGCTTCAACCCCGCAAGTAACTGGGACTACAGGCACACGCCATCATGCCTGGCTAATTTTTGTATTTTTTGTAGAGACAGGGTCTTGCCATGTCACTCAGGCTGGTCTCGCACTCCTGAGCTCAAGCAATCCTCCTGCCTTGGCCTTCCAAAGTGCTAAGATTACTAGCACGAGCCTCCACACCCAGTCTAAAATAGATTTTTAAGACAAAAACATTACCAGGGATAAAGAGGATAACATAATGGCAAAAGGTTCAATTCACTGGGAAGATGTAACAACTGCAAAGCCGTATAGCATCTGTTTAAATAGCCTCAAAATGAGAGACCTCCAGAGACTGACAGCAGCAAACATATTTCCACAAGGGCACCTCCCAACACTCCTGGGTTCCGTTAGCACAGAATGAGTGCTAGTTCTTTGGCAACCCAAGATTAAGCCCTGTGGCCGCAGTGAAAAGAATCCCAGGAGAAAACTCAGAAATAAAATGGAAGAAGTAAGACTTCAGGTTGAAATCACTAGAAACCCCCAGGAAGTAAAGGAGGAAAATGAAACCGAGGAACCAGAAAAACTATCCAACAAGTTCATTAATACTTGGAGTGACCAGGAGATCCACAGTTTCCTAAAAGAATCTCTTAAATTTGAAGAAATCTCTTGAAGAGTCGAGGAAGAATCATGAACAGTCTAAAGTGATTGTCCAGCATCTCAAGCAGACGGGTACACAGTGGAGCTGGCACGTGACAAGTTTGCAGGACTTTTACTGGACTACTCATGAGGCCAACCTGAGGCCAAGGAGCCAGTGCCAGCCCTGTCCTGATGGAGAGGCCCTACACGGGATTCTGGGATACAGATGGAAGGATGTCTTTTCAGTTCCTCCCTCTGCAGATGCAATTGTTCTTCCAACTGCCTAGTACCAGCCCGGGGCCTGTGCCATCCCTGTTCACTTTGAGGTGCTGCTGTGGGCTCCCTCACCCACGAACTGCATGTGGGATCGTTGGGTGCCCAGATAAGAACCCTGAAACATGAGCCCCCCACGGTCAGCCCCATGCTTGTTTCCTGACTTCTTCCCTGCAGCCTGCAGCCTGCAGCCTCTAGCAGCATTGGCCACCCTCTTCTGATTCTGATCCAGATTCTGAACTGAGAGACAATTAGAATCTGGATCCCAATTCCCTCTGAAAGCAACAGAATAACATGATCTATACACGGATGCATGACACTTTGCCAAGCCCAATGTAATGAGAATAAAGTGTGAATAAAATAAATGGCTTCAAAATACAAAAAGCAAAGATGAAAAAATTACAGGGAGAAATCCATAATAGTGAGAGATTTGGCATGCCTCCATCATATATTAATACATCAAGCACAAAAGAAAATAGATTTGAGAAAATTAATGGATGTGATTTAACATACATACATAGTATTGGGAGATCATTCTTCACTAGTCTTTCATACTTCTGCACATCTTGTGAGTGCAGCTTTTGTTCTGGATTATCTGTTCAAGTATGTACAATGAATAGCCTTGGACTATAGAGACAGTGCCTCCCTCTGGAGTGAACAGCAAGTTTGTTCACCGCCCAGTCTAATAAAGACACTGCCTCCCTCTAGGTCAAAGTTTGAGGAGGTTTGTTTGCAGCTCATTACAAAAAACTGGAACTTCCTAGTCTTGAGGTTTCTCAGCTGTGAAACGCACACACTGCATCCACCTGGGCCTCTTCGTATTAGCCTCATGGGACTTACAGGGCGAGGAGAATCCACACAAGCATGAAGCTCATGCTGCTTGCTATGCTAGGGGTGAGTAATAAATCCTTTGTCTCTGATCCAGGAGTCTCATGTCTTCTGTCAGTATATATGAAACTGTGGCAAGCTAAGTTACTAGATTGCAAGTGTGATCAAATATCAGACCCTTCACAGTTCTTGACACATTGAAGGTTGCACCCAGCAGTAGACAATATACCATCTTCTTATGCACTGCATGGAGCAGACACTAATTACCCAGCACAATGCCTGCCACGTGAGAGACACCGAGTAAATGTCAGTTCTCATTTCTCTCCAGCACTCCTGTTCTTCTTATTTCCTTGAGCACTCAGCAGCCTCAGGGAAGGAATGAAGCAGGTAAACAGAAATCCGAGGCTAGTGTTAAAACAGTCTGGGCAATGGTTCTGTCCATCCTAGCATAAAATAGGAGCACAGGGAGCTAGAGTGATGTAGAACAACTTCCCCCCATGCTGTGTTGGCCCTATGCTGTGTGACTTCGTTATTTGATTTGGAGCAAGACCATTCCTAGGAAAGCAAATTCTGTATGCTTATATTCAAATGTCAAGACATTTTCCAAAGGTTCTATAAAAATTAAATCTAGATAATTAACCATCTTCTCATAGCTCAGAGCAGTGAGTGAGACACGGTCTCTGTCTTTGAAGAGCTCCCTGTCATATCAAGGCTTGGCAGTGAGGTGAGGAGATTGAGCTTGGTAGGTAAACTACTAACACAATGTACCATATCTCCAAACACCAAGGGAGCATGATCCATGATTAATTCTACTGAGGGAAGAAGGTGGCACAGAGGAGGTGATGTGTCTGAGGCCTGACCTGGTCTAGAATAATTTTGTCAGGAGGAAAGTGAGCTAACTCAGCTTCCAGGTTGCAGTGGCCCAAGGTGTGAAGTTCCTGTGATTGTTCAGCATCTCAGGGCAGATGGGGCCAAAGAAGGGGTGGCAAATGGAATATAACCAGTACCCTCAATTCAAGAGAGCAGGGAGGGTTGGGAGGAGAAGCTGCTGGTGAGCGAGAGAATTCAGAAATCACTGTAGGGAGAGATATCAGGTGATCTCCAGGTATCTTTTCTCCCACTGATGTGTGAGTTCTCTCGCTCACCAGTAGCTTCTCCAGGGTCTTTCCTCGAGCCCAGAAGGCTGAGAGGGGTCCTTGCTACCCTTTGAAAAAGGATGAGACCTGCTCATCACGGAACCCTACAGACACCTAAATGGGTCCAAGCAATACTTCTGATGCATTTCAAGGAGAAGGCTGGGCATTGGGGTGGCTGCTTCAGTAATGGGCAGTGGGACCCTTCCAGCTCTCCACAAGGTCTGTAGCCACACACAGCTGCCCTTGTCCTCAGAGCTGTGGTCCAACTGAAATCATGCCCTGTACCCAGGTCCTATGTCCCCTGACATATGGCCACAGAGAGACAGCTTATTGCTAAAAAACTACCCAGTAGGGAGAACTCAGAAGATCTATATGGCATGGTTCCTGGACACTTTACAGCAGATGTTAAAGTGTGTTGCCCTGAATGTCAGCCTCAAAAGCATCCTTAAAGCATCCCCGGTTCCCTCAAAGTCCTATATGGTCCTGTAATTCTTGACTTTCTTGAAATACTTTCGCAGTTTGCCACAGAGTCCCTTATTGATCTACACCACACCTCAGACTTGCAGAGAAAACAGCTCTTAAAATCTAGCATAGGGTGGATCTGATCTTCCTAACAAGCTGCTATCCATTGAGCAGAGAGTAGCAAAACACTTTTAGTCCGTGGAAGAGACTTCATTTGCTGCATTAGGTTAAATGAATCCTCTACATGATGTTCTGGCTAATAGGTGCTCAGCCTCTGAACGGGGTTCCTCCGTCAGCTTGGTCTCAGCTTTCCTTCCCTTTCTCTTGCCTCTCTGCAGAATGGCATCTGGAATGGGGTGTGGAGGTGGGGCTTCTGTCCCCATGACTGAAGAATAGGCACTTGGATTTGCAAGGTGGTTCTGATCTTCCCCAGTCTCCACTGGGTTACCTCCAGCCTGCCCTGGCCTGGCTCCATGGGGACATGAGGAGCCTTGGAGGTCTGAGGCTAGCAGGGGCTCTGGCCTTTATGTGGCCAGGTGTTTATTTTGCAAAGCCCAGACGAGGCCTGTGCTGGGTGGTCTGTGCTGGATACCATACCCAACCATATGCCAAACCAGGAGTCGGCTGGCCTCAGTGACAGGCCCAGGGTCTTCAGAGGTCCCTTGTCAACTGGAGTAGGGGTGTCTGAGGTACCATTCTAGGCTTCCTAAGTGGGCCCCATCACCCCCCTCCACCTTCCACAGTACTCCCGAAAACCCCTGGGTTTCTGGCCAGGGCATCCTCGAGCTGGTGAACGGGTGATGACCCAGGGAAAACCAGCAACAGAATAACATGATCTACCAGGTTGTGGCCCTGGAGGAGAAATCTTGGCACTCCTAAGAAGTAGAAGGCGCCAGAGAGCTGCGCGCAGGTCTGAATACTGTCTGGAAGAAGAGGCCCCCTGCCCCAGAAACACCCTGTCCCAGCCCCATCTCCCAGTGCAGGGTAACATGACAAACAGATAAAGTTTGAACTTAATGCATCAGCAAAGCCGCATCACATGCACAAAACAAGGTGGAGAGGGGGCTTGAAGGCTAAAACAAAATCATCAAAATGGTCACTCCAGTGAGGCGGGGCCTGCTACCGCTGCAGCACTCAGAACTGCGGTGGACATGGGAGGGCTTGTTGTGTGCAGGTCAGAAAGAGGTCGCTGACTCCGCTTGCTTCACAATTGGGCTTAGCGTCCTGCTCAGGGCCTTTGAAGGTTCAAATCTGGCCCCTGGCAATAAACTCTTCCTTCTTGGAAACTCACTCAGTGACAGCACCGGTTCTCTCCATCCGGCGACCTTTGTCAGATGGTTAACCCAGTTTAACTCCTACTCCATGGACTGTTCTGAGAACTGCCATTGGCTAGCCCACGGGGGTTGTGGGAGGGAGACAGACACATACAACTCACTGTAATTACAATGCTTATGAGTTTTGGAATACCTCTTACATGGCAAAATGTTTACGTAGATTATCTCCATTCCTCTTAACAGTCCTGGGTGGGGGAGGGGGGAGTATATTTCCTCCAAGTTATCGATGGGAAACTGAAGCTCAGAGCCGTCAAGGCCACCCAAGCAGGAAGTGGCTGTGAGGCTGCCTTCTTGAAGAGCCTGGGCGGCTCCACTGCCCTGCACCACCTCCAGCTATAATGCTGTGGGGCGGTGTGAGCCTCTCTTCAAAGGCATTGAAGCCTGTGGGGGAGGTTCAGTCGGGTCCAGCTGTTGTTCCCAGGCACTGTCCCGCCTGAGCTCTGCTCCATGCAGAGAGCAAATGCCTCTTGATTCCCACAAGGGGCTCCCCTCAGGGCCTCCAGGTATTATGCATTGAAGGACGAGGGTGCATGACAGCAGATGTGGGCACCTGGGGCTAGGGGCCCTGGTAAGGCTCACCCCCAGTGAGGGCAGGGCCTGCAGCTGCTGCAACACCAAGAAACTCTGTAGAAATAGGAGGGCTTGTTGTTTGTGGGTCAGAAGCAGCAGGAAACCTGCCAGAGATTCTGCTGAAAAGGTTTAATGAAGGGACCCTTACAGAATGTGGGCGGGCTTAGAGGGATTAAGCCTGCATTGCCAGATTCAGCAAATAAAAATATGTTGTCCAGTTAAATTTGCATTTCAAATAAGCAATGAATAATTTTTTCAAGATAAATACTTATAAGTATACCTAAAGCAATAATATTTGAGACATATTTATACTAAAAAATTATTCATTATTGACCAGGCATGGTGGTTCATGCCTGTAATCCCAGCACTTTGGGAGGCTGAGGCAAGTGGATCACCTGAGGTCAAGAGTTCGAGACCAGCCTGACCAACATGGAGAAACCCCATCTCTACTAAAAATACAAAAAGTTAGCCGGGCGTGGTGGCACATGCCTGTAATCCCAGCTACCAGGGTGGCTGAGGCAGGAGAATCGCTTGAACCTGGGAGGTGGAGGTTGCAGTGAGCCAAGATCGCACCATTGCACTCCAGCCTGGGCAACAAGAGCGAAACTCCATCTCAAAAAAAAAAAGTCCTCATTATTTATCTGAAAAGCAAATTTAACAGGGCATTCTATTTTTTTTTTTCTGGCAACACAAGATTAAGGACATCCAAGAACTAGCTGCAGCAGGAAACTAGGCCAGGAGAGGCAATGGGAAGGAACTACCTGGCAGGAACCTGGCAGAGCTGAAGCTCCCCATAGATTGAGGAATGCAGCCGGCACCTGAGCTCAGCAAGGTTGGTGGCAGGGCAGGGGTCAGTGGAGGGAGTAAATACTCCTACCTCATTCTCTCCCCACCCTCTGATTGCCTGCTGTGCTTCTCCTTAGCAAGAAAATCTGCTGTGGTTTGAATGTGTCTCCCAAAAGATCATGCATTGGAAATGTAGCCCTCTGCCCTCAAGGATGGATTAATGCCATCATGGGAGTGGCTCCGCTATAAAAAGCAAGCTCTCTCTGGCTCTCTTGCTCTTGCCCTCTTGCCATATAATGCCTTCTATCATGTTGTGATGCACCAAGCATGGCCTCACAGATGCTGGTGCCATGCTTTTGGACTTCCTGGCCTCCAGAACCATGAGCTGAATACATTTCTTTTCTGTTTCTTTTCTTTTTCTTTCTTTTTTTTTTTTTTGAGATGGAGTCTCACTCTGTCACTCAGGCTGGAGTGCAATGGCGCAATCTTGGCCCACTGCAACTTCTGCCTCCCAGTGTCAGGCCTCTGAGCCCAAGCTAAGCCATCATATCCCCTGTGACCTGCACATATACGTCCAGGTGGCCTGAAGCAAGTGAAGAATCACAATAGAAGTGAAAATGGCTGGTTCCTGCCTTAACTGATGACATTCCATCATTGTGATTTGTTCCTGCCCCACCTTAACTGAGTGATTAACCTTGTGAAATTCCTTCTCCTGGCTCAGAACCTCCCCAACTGGGCACCTTGTGACCCCCACCCCTGCCCGTAAGAGAAAAACCCCCTTCGACTGTAATTTTCCACTACCCACCCAAATCCTATAAAACAGCCCCACCCCTATCTCCCTTCACTGACTCTCTTTTTGGACTCAGCCTGCCTGCACCCAGGTGACTAAAAAGCTTTATTGCTCACACAAAGCCTGTTTGGTGGTCTCTTCACATGTGACGCACGTCACATGGACGCACAGTCACGCACATGGGTGCCGTGACTCGGATCGGGGGACCTCCCTTGGGAGATCAATCCCCTGTCTTCCTGCTCTTTTTCCATAAGAAAGATCCACCTATGACCTCTGGTCCTCAGACCAACCAGCCCAAAGAACATCTCACCAATTTTAAATTGGGTAAGTGGCCTCTCTTTACTCTCTTCTCCAACCTCTCTCACTATCCCTCAACCTCTTTCTCCTTTCAATCTTGGTGCCACATTTCAATCTCTCCCTTCTCTTAATTTCAGTTCCTTTCCTTTTCTGGTAGAGACAGAGGAGATGCATTTTATCCATGAACCCAAAACTCTGGTGCCAGTCAGACTTGGGAAGACAGTCTTCCCTTGGTGTTTAATCACCATGGGGACACCTGCTTGATTATTCACCCACGTTTCAGAGGTGTCTGATCACCACAGGGACTCCTGCCTTGATCCTTCACCTTTAGTGGCAAGCACCACTTTCCTGGGGGGCAAGCACCCCCCAACCCTTCTCTCCATGTCTCTACCCTCTCTTTTCTCTGGGCTTGCCTCCTTCACTATAGGCAACCTTCCATGCTCCATTCCTCCTTCTTCTCTCTTAGCCTGTGTTCTCAAGAACTTAAAACCTCTTCAACTCACACCTGACCTAAAACCCAAATGCCTTATTTTCTTCTGCAATGCTGCTTGACCCCAATACAAACTCGACAATGGTTCCAAATAGCCAGAAAACGGCACTTTCGATTTTCCATCCTACAAGATCTAGATAATTCTTGTCATAAAATGGGCAAACGGTCTGAGGTGCCTGATGTCTAGGCATTCTTTTACACATCGGTCCCTCCCTAGTCCCAATGCGACTCATCCCAAATCCTCCTTCTTTCCCTCCCGCCTGTTCCCTCAGTCCCAACCCCAAGCGTTGCTGAGTCTTTTCAATCTTCCTTTTCTACCAACCCATCTGACCTGTCCCCTCATCCCCAGACTGCTTCTTAGGTCACTCCCTGCCAGGCTGAATCAGACTCCAATTCTTCCTCAGCTTCTGCTCCTCCACCCTATAATCCTTCTATCACCTCCTCTCCCCACACCCAGTCTGGCTTACAGTTTCATTCTGCAACTAGCCCTCCCCCACCTGCCCAACAATTTCCTCTTAAAGAGGTGGCTGGAGCTAAAGGCATAGTCAAGGTTAATGCTCCTTTTTCTTTATCCAACCTCTCCCAAATCAGTTACCGTTTAGGCTCTTTTTCATCAAATATAAAAACCCAGCCCAGTTCATGGCCCATTTGGCAACAACCCTTAGACACTTTATGGCTCCAGACCCTGAAGGGTCAGAAGGCCATCTTATTCTCAATATACATTTTATTACCCAATCTGCTCCCAACATTAAATAAAGCTCCAAAAATTAAATTCCGGCCCTCAAACCCCACAACAGGACTTAATTAACCTTGCCTTCGAGGTGTACAAAAATAGAGAAGAGTTGCAGTTACTTGCCTCTGCTGTGAGAGAAACCCCAGCCACATCTCCAGCACACAAGAACTTCAAAATGCCTAAGCTAGAGCAGTCAGGTGTTCCTTCAGGATCTTCTCCATCAAGATCTTGCTTCAAGTGCCAGAAATCTGGCCACTGGGCCAAGGAATGCCCGCAGCCTGGGATTCCTCCTAGGCTGTGTCCCATCTGTGCAGGACTCCACTGAAAATCAGACCGTCCAACTCACCCGGCAGCCACTCCCAGAGCCCCTGGAACTCTGGCCCAAGGCTGTCTGACTGACTCCTTCCCAGATCTTCCCAGCTTAGCAGCTGAAAACTGATGCTGCCCGATTGCCTCGGAAGCTTCCTGGACCATCACAGATGCTTTTGGTAACTCTTACAGTAGAGGGTAAATCTGTCCCCTTCTTAATCAATACGGAGGCTACCAACTCCACATTACCTTCTTTTCAAAGGCCTGTTTCCTTTGCCTCCATAACTGTTGTGGGTATTGACAGCCAGGCTTCTAAACCTCTTAAAACTCCCCAACTCTGGTACCAACTTAGACAATATGCTTTTATGCACTCCTTTTTAGTTATCCCCACCTGCCCAGTTCCCTTATTAGGTCTAGGCATTTTAACTAAATTATCTGCTTCCCTGACTATTCCTAGGCTACAGCCACACCTCACTGCCACCCTTTTCCCCAGTTCAAAGCCTCCTTCATATCCTCTCCTTGTATCTCCCCACCTTAATCCACAAGTATAGGACACCTCTACTCCCTCCTTTGCGACCGATCATGCACCCCTTACCATCCTATTAAAACCTAATCACCCTTACCCCGCTCAATGCCAATATCCCATCCCACAGCATGCTTTAAAAGGATTAAAGCCTGTTATAGCATGGCCTTTTAAAGCCTATAAACTCTCCTTACAATTCCCCCATTTTACCTGTTCAAAAACTGGACAGGTCTTACAGGTTAGTTCAGGATCTGTGCCTTATCAACCAAATTGTTTTGCATATCCACCCCGTGGTGCCAAACCCATATACTCTCCTATCCTCAA